>NC_000012.12:37380460-37460032 GCF_000001405.40 Homo sapiens | reverse complement strand
CATATATATATATACACACACACACCCACAATGGAATATTATTCAGCCTTCAAAAGAGAAATTCTGTCATATTTCAACATGTATCAATCTTAAGGATATTGTGCTAAGTGAAATAAGCCAGATACAAAGACAAATATATCGTGATTCCATTTATATGAGGTATTGAAAGTAGCCAAACGCATGGAAACAGAAGATAAAATGGTAGTTGTCATGGTCTGGAGGAAACAGGAAGTCTGGAGTTGCTGTTCACCAGGTGTGGAGTTTCAGTCAAGCAAGATAAAAACATTCTAGATTTCTGCTGTACAACAATGTGTATATCATTAACAAAATGTTCTGCAAACTTAAAATTTTGTTAAGATGGTAGATTTTTTTGTTATGTGTTTTTTAATTACAAAAATTTCTGTCTGTATTTAGTTTACATTTTAGTAAAGAAAGACAAATAAGCTAATAAATGGTAATGATAAATGCTGTAAGGATATCTAGAGCAATAAAAGAAGTTATGGATATGGGAGTGCAATTTTAGATAGTGAAGATGTCTGTATTTAAATGTCACATGGAAAAAAGACTAAGGGGAATGAGGAGATGAGTCATACGGAATGCCGAAGACACAGAAGAAGGCAGGCAGAGAAAATAACAAGGATAAAGACACTGAAGTAAAATCATGCTTTCTATATTTCAAAACAACAGCAAGGACACTAGTGTGACAGAGCAGGAGTGACCAATGGGAGGCTGGAGATTTTGCCAGAGATATTGTCAAGGCTCAGGATCATACTGGGACTCGTAAGCCTGGAAAGCACTTTGAATTTTATTCAGAATGAGATGAGAAGCCATTGAAAAGTTTTTAAGCAGATGAGTAAAATAATCCACCTTGTATTTTAAGAGGTGCATTCTACCTTCTCTGTGGAATAGAGAGGTGGAAGGGCAAAGCTTGAAGCAGAGAGAGCAGTGAAGAGTGTACTGTAATATTCTTATGTGAGAAATAGTGGAGGGAATGAGAGGTGGTCAGCCTTAAACTGCCATTGTTGCTCTGTGTATCAGGGCTCAGGGACTTTCAGACTCTCCAGGGATTCCTTACAGTTTTTACATTCATTTCTCAGTTGCAAACATAATCTCTTCACTCTATGAGAACTCTAGATCTGAATCCTTGTTATGAGTCAGGAGTCCACTCTAGTTTACTCTCTTGTCAGTAACTAGACTTGAAATGTTTTGATATTAATTGATATCATAATAAGATTGGTTACAGAAATAGCAAAGAGCGAGCGTCCCCATCCTATGACCATATCGGCACCAGAAGAGAAACACATCTACAGTTTTTCCCTTGGCATAGGCCCTGGTATTCTGTTAGGGAACAGGTTATAAAGGAAATACAAAGGGTCTTTGTACTTACTTTCAGAATATATTTTCTTTAACATGAAAAGAATCCAAGGCCTTTTTGCTTCTAATTGCTTTTTGTGTATCTACTACCATCCCTTGCTAAATTGTTGATACGTTTCCTCAAATCTCGGCATGATGTACTACATTCCAAATTTTCAATAGCTGAAAATTTCACCTTTTCAGTGCCTTCATGTTTATCTCAGTAAAAAGTTGAGGAAGACTGTAATAGAGTTAATCAGATTTTTTTTCATCTACCATAGTTTTTGAATAAGGAAAAACATCAACATTTTTTCTCCTTACTTGGAAAATAATTTCCATAGAGAGGAAAAAAACAATCAAAATAGGTACAAAATGTAACAAAACCAAAGGACCATGTGAGGTGAAATTTAAAATGAGAAAAATGTCCACATTACTTTGGGCAATGCAACTGCTGGGAAATAGTAACTCAGCACCTGAAAGCTAAATAATTCTACAGGACTAAATACATATTCTGGTACCCAAGGGGAAAATGACATCATAGAGAGGTTAGGTCTATTAAAACATATTTGTACATGTGTAGGTATAAACTATGCTTTTAGAGATGGGAAGAGAAAAAAACTCATTTGTTTAACAAGTTCTGTTGGGTGCTTTTCACTAAAAGAGAAACATCATATGTTTATAACACTGAGGATGTAAATTGCAGTACATTTCAAATTACATGAGAAACTAAAGAAAATATCTGTTTCAGGTCACTGAATAATTCATTCTTATTTAGCGTTTGTCCCTAATTTCTGTGATTTTATGAATAATTCAGAGCAATGATTTTACCTTTCTCTACAGCTGTATTTGGCAAATGTCCACATTATTTTTGTTGCAAAGATTCAGCCAAGTTTCTTAGAATAGGAACAATGTTTAGAATGTATTTTTTCCATAATGAAAATTATTATGAAAGGGGAAACTAAGATATAGCTTACAGGGTTCTCTATTGTGATAACTAAAACAGACTTAGCCTCAAGTAAAACTGACATCTTGCTAACTGTTGGTGGTGAAGGAGAAAGAAGACAACACTGAACCAGACTGGGGAAAGATGAATTCAAATTAGTTAGAGATTCGTCACCCAAAGCAAAACAAATTCAAGCTTGAACTGAGCTGACATTGATAGTTATTATGAACTGCAAATCCCTCAAATTCATATGTTGAAATCCTAACTCTCAATGTATTGGTATTAGGAGGTAAACCTTTGGGAGGAAATTAGGTCATGAAGATGAAAACCTCATCGAAGGAAAGTAGTGCCCTTCTAAGAACAGATACAAGAGAGATTTTTCTCTCCGCCATGTGAGGATAAAGTAAGACAGCCATGTGTAAACCAGGAAGACAGCCTTCACCAAGAACCCAACCATGCTGACTCCCTGATTTCAGATTTACAGCCTACAAATCTGTGAAAAACAAATGTTTATTATTTTAGTCACTCAATCCATGTTTTCTGTTATAGCAGCCCACATTGACTAAGAAATACTAAACCCTTTATTTGGTAGATGAATATAGTATCAGACAAGGTATCGTATGAGTAAAAACCTAAGATTTATGTGTGATCATTTTACACTGGAGCAGCTACTGAAACTTGAGACCAAAACCACTAGCTAACATCAGTATGTCAACCCAAAACATTTGGGACAGTAATGAAGATACAGCAAATGAATTGTTTTAATATATAATCAAGGCAAAGTTATCATCAGAATTATAGGAAAAAATCCACTAAATTTCGTTTATGAGAAATTCATGATTCACTGTATACCTTGATACTGGGCTTAAAGCAGCAATCCTAATTCCAGATCTACCTTCAAGTCTGGGTCAGTGTTCTCAAATGCTGCCAGTTTCATGTCAGGACTGGCTTAATGTTGAAGGTAACTGAGCATTGCTAATGTCTGACTGGAGATGAAAGAGGCCAAAAGCAGTGTTATAACTTTGGTAAAACTGACCTGGTATTAACTTCCATACCTTCCATTTCAAATGGGAAAGTATCGCAATTAGAAGCTATTAGCAGTCTTATCTAATAACTTGTGGATAATTCCTTTTTTTTTCCTTTTTTTAAGAGTCAGGGTCTCACTCTGTCACCTAGGCTGGAGTGCAGTGGTGCAATTGTTATGGAATCTTTGGGGTGTCGATTTTCTGGTTGGAAAACTGTGGTTGGTGGCATCTTTGCCCGAGTTCTTGTCCTGCATCCAGGAAGAATGGTGTAGGTAGACAAGTGAAGGGTTAAAGGAGAGGAGCTTTATTAAGTGTTAGAACAGCTCAGAGGAGACCCATGGTGGGTAGCTCCTCTCTAGGTTGTTTGTCAAGTGTTCAGCTCTCAGCAGAAAGGGAAACCCTGGAGAGGGCTGCTCCTGTCTGCAGCTGGTAGTTCCCAGACATCTCTGCAGGTCTCTGAAGCATTCAGCAGAGAAAGTAGCTGGCCCTCCCATTGTCTCCAGCTATCAGTAGAAAGGATAGCTCATTTCTGCCTCTAGTCTTCCCTCCTCTGTCTTCTGCCTTGTTCTGGCTGAGTCCCAGGCTTTTATGGATGTCAGAGGGGAGGAAGTGTATGCCCATTGGTCCATGGGCAGCCATTGGCGGGCCCAGGAAAAAGCCCCATGAGTTTTGCCTCCAGTCTGCAGGACTGGCAGCCTAGCCTGCAGGTGGGGCTTCACTGGGGACCCATCCCCTTCCACCCAGCAGCCTGTCTGCCTCCCACAGCCATCCATGGCACCCAGGCTGCTGGCATCAAGGGGCACTTGCAGGCCAGTGCCCAGCCACCCTCGGACCACCTCAGCTTCCCCTCCCATGCTCCTGCTCCTCGGTGTCCAAAGTCCAGAGGGGGCTGAGGTGGCAGGGGACTGGCATGTCAGCACTGCTTCCAATGTTTGCACACCTGGCTGGGCTGTGACAGCACCCTGCTGGGTCCCAGCCCCACTCTGAGATCAGAGCACAGAGCCAGGAGGTTGGAGAGACCAGGGAGCAGGAGGAGGTGCCTCCAAGCCTGCAAGGGGCGAGGGGGTTGTTCCCAGGCTCCCCAAGAGTGCAGGGATGCCTGAGTCTGCAGCATGGGTTTGGGTGGCTGGGTGGTGGGCTGGGGTGGGGACAGAGTAGGGGAGTTGGATGAACTCCCGTCTGCTCCATGGAGTGGGACGTCCAGGTCTACAGCTACAGCTTCAGTTTGGGCAGCTGCAGCAGAACCCAGGGAGCTCTCATTCCAACTCAGAAGGGGCAGGGCTCCCACTTGTCCCCATCTTGCCAACTCTAGAGAGCATACAACCCTGCCACACCTCTCCCCAGCAGCTGGCATTATGGCAGCAGCTGCCGCCATCACAATTATAGCTTATTGTAGCCTCAAACTCCTGGGCCCAAGTGATCTTTTTACCTCAGTCTCCCCAGTAGCTGGGGCCACAGGCATGTGCCACAATGCCCATCTAATTGTTTTGTTTTGTTTTGTTTTGTTTTTGTAGAGACGGTGGTCTGGCTATATTGCCCAGGTTAATCTCTAATTCCTGGACTTAAGCAGTCTTCCTGCGTCATCCTCCTACTTGGCTGGGATTACAGGCATGAGCGACTGTTCCCAGCTCCTGATAAATCCTTTCTTAATCAAAGTCTTCATCAGCAGCCTTACTTACCACAATCTTCCCAGATGATCTCAAGTATCCAAGGAAATTAAAAGTAGCTACTGCTGACAAAACTGTTGGGTTCCCTGATATTGTGCAAGAATAAAATTATGTTAGGTGTTCCGTTAGCCAGCTCTTCTTCTGTAACAGTCTCTTCCTATGTATTAATCAAAACTGATGCAACTTTTTAAAGAACTATTCCTAGAAACTTTCTCCCTTCCCAGTCAGAATTAATGTATTATTTATCCATTTAAAGGACTATATAAGTAGGACATGGTTTGGGTATATAGCAGCACTTACGGCCATTTACTTTGTGGTTCAGTGATTTCTGTGTGCTTCTGACTTGTATATACTTTCAGCCCTTGTAGATGTAGTGGTGGTAGTTTTCCCAACTTAAATTTATCTTTATCATCCACCTTTATCCATAGTCCTCCTCATGATTAGCACATTGTCAATAAATATTTACTAAGCTGAACTGAAAGTTTTTATTATGCATAAATATTAAGATGTCCATGTCCATGGTCATGCAGGACAGCAGAAGATTTTTTTTTTACCAGTGTATCTATTGCTAACAATTGCTTCAAGGTCAGGAACCAACTCATGTATTAGACATGTAAATCTTATGAAAATATTCATATTGGAAACAGCATGTAGCAAGTGCAAACAGAACTAAATAAATCCTTTAATTTATCACAGTCCCCTCAAAGTATGAATTCTTCTTATAGCATTATATCAAATTTGATAAAATCCAAAAATATTTTATCTCAATATTTTAAAAGTGTTGATGCTGTATACATTGAGTTATTGTACAATTGAATGGAACCCACATTCAAAGTTTTTCCTCAATGTTAAAATGAAATGGTTCTCTCTGTGATTCTTTCTGTTTGCAGTTCTTCTCATTTCATTGTTAGAATTTGCCTCTACTAACGTAATTCACTTGGCATTGCAGACGTTCTGATCTTTTCAAATGTGTATTTTGACAGGTGCCTCAAACATTCATCCTTGGTTTGTGCTGTGGGCTGAAAGTTTTTATCTCTCCAAAATTCATATATTGAAATCTAATTCCTAATATGTTGGTGTTAAGATGTGAGGCCAGGCTGGACACAGTGGCTCACACCTGTAATCCCAGCACTTTGGGAGGCCGAAGTTGACAGATCACGAGGTCAGGAGTTCATGACCAGCCTGGCCAACATGGTAAAACCCCATCTCTACTAAAAATACAAAAATTAACCAGGTGTGGTGTCACACGCCTGTAATCCCAGCTACTCAGGAGGCTGAGGCAGGAGAATTGCTTGAATTTGGGAAGCAGAGGTTGCAGTGAGCTGAGATTGTGCCACTGCACTCCAGCCTGGGCAACAGAGCAAGACTCCATCTCAAAAAATCAATCAATAAATAAAAACACCGGGGAGGTCTTTGGGATGTGAGTAGGTTAAGGGAGTTGGGGAACCATCATGAATGGCTTAGTCCCCTTATAAAAGAACCCATAGGGAGCTACTTTGCCCCTTTTGCCCTTATGCCATGTGAAGATGCAGCAGTAAGTTTGAGAAACAAACCTCACCAGGTAACAACTCTGCTGGCACCTTGATCTTGGACTTCCCATCCCCCAGAACTGAGAATAATAAATTTGGTTTATAAATTGCCCAGTCTAAGGTAATTTGTTACAGCAGTCCAAGTGGACCCAAACAGGTTGTAAACACTTGAAAAATGAATATCTGTATTGAATCGCATATTTTAGCAAAAGTTTTCTGGTAGAAATACAGCCTATGGCCAAAGAATTAATAGCCGACTCCCATTTGAATGGCCAAGATTTGCTCTCTATGTCCAGTATTTTATTTTTGTGCCTGTAAGTTGGACATATGCAAATTTTTACAAAACAAACCAGAAAAGTTCAATAGTCTTTCATTCTCTGATTTCACTAACTTCTTTTAAGTATATTTCAACAATTATCTTAATATTGTCACCTGTAGATTAAGCATACTGTTTTAAACACTCTATTCCTATTTATTCAAAGCTTGAATTGAGCTAGCTGCTAATAACTTTTTTGATTAGCATCGCAACCATATTCACCTACCATATTTTTCCCTCTCCTTTGATTTCTGGGCAATCACTCACTTTCACAATTTGTATGTGACTCACAATTCTATACCTACTTTTGCCTTACCTTAAAATATTTTTTGATTTAATACATTTACATTTTTTCTCCTTTTGCTTTTGGAATTGTACTACTATCACGGGGGTTTTATTTTCCTTTTTCAAGAGTTTCTCAAAATTCTTGACCAAAGCCCTATCACCTGAAGTGAATAATATTCTTCACTATATTACCGCATCACATGTTTACATCTGGCTAAAGTAAGAAACACTACTCGTGTTCTGTAGCTAATTGATAATTGTTAAAATAAACTTAACAAATGACAACAAATTATAGAAAATGATTATTTTAAGGTTCTTTATACTTGTAATATTTGTGAATAATAGGAGTCATCACCTCTTTCTGTAGCTAATTGTATAGGGAGCACATGCAGTTAGCGGCATGTTTCTTAACACATTTCTCATATCAAGAATAACAAATACAATGCAGTGGGGAGTGGAGAAAAGAAATTAAGTGTGGCTACATCTGCAAGTAACAATTGCAGCCACTTTGTCAAAGGTAAAACAATCGCCAATGAGCTATACAGATTGTTTGTCACCAGAATAACTGAATCAAGTGGTTCCAACTCATTAATTTTGTTCATTCCCATATACCTGAACATCTGGGACATGAAGAAATAGTGTGTATGTGTTAATAGGCAAAGCTGTAGTAATGACTTCTACCTATCAGAAGCAGTTATCTATTTTCCTGTTACTATCTAATTTTTACACAAAAATACTTCAGATGAATATTGACAGAAACTCAGAAAGAAGTATGGCATAAGCTAATATGAAGGTAATGTAATAATGGCAGAAAGTTACAGCTTAAAAGTTTTTACAGTGGGAAGATTATTGTAATAGTGAGAGCCATGTATAAGTTTGTTTTGAAATGATAATGTACAGCTGAAGAGTATAATGCTCAAATTTTTGTATATGTAGTTTTTGTAATTCAACAAGTAGGGTTAAGAGACAGTAAGAATTATACAGAATGTTGGATTTTATTTCACATCTGTTCCTCTTGTCAGATATGGCCATCTTTCCCATGTTTCATCAGGTGTTCAGTAAGTTAACAACATTCACTCCGTGAAAAGTACCACATGATTTATTGCATAAATATAGTTGGAAATACACTGTGGTTCCTCATATCCTCAAGCTTATAATTCAGTTTGGAGACTACACTATATAAATGTAGAAATGCCATAATTATGCTCATAAATTGACTTTTTAAAACATACAAATTAATATGGTAGAAACTGAATACATAAGTATGGGGGTGCCATAGAAAATAATGATCAATGCCAGTGGGATTAATCAAGGAAAGTTTCTTGGGGAAGTCAATTCTAAACAGAATTTGGTATATTTGTTTATTTAGCACTCATTTTATGTTTTCTAATTATAAATATAATGTATTCTCATATTCTCAAGGTAATACATTTGCAAATTTTAAATTAGTAGGAAGATTAAAAGGAACTAAGATCCCACTGTCCAAAGGTAATCTTTATTCAGGTTCTGCTCTTTTCCTTCTATTTGGTTCTCTGATATTTTCTTCATGGTTGCCATTATATCACATATTCGATATTATAACCCACTTTGTGTTTCAATCAGTGTCTATACATACAACTTTGAGTGATACAAATGTCTCATAGAAACTAAGTTTAATCAAATCAAGAAACTAAGTTTAATGCCAGTCTATATCAATGTACTGTTTCCTTCTAGCTAAATATTTAGGCTTTTCCAAATTTTGATAACATAGAAAACTCCAAAGATATTTTTGTTAACATTTTCTCTTAGTATTATTTTCCTAAGGTAGACTTTAACAATTTATTATAATAAATTATAGAAAATGATCATTTTAAGGTTCCTTATACTTGTAATATTTGTAAATAATATGTTATCACCTCTTTCGAATTAGTTATTTCCACTTGATATTTTATTGCATTGATCAGAATTCCCAGAATTGTAATATAATGCTAATTATTAAATCTTACTTTCCTTCTCATGTTAATAGTTATTATTTTGTAAATATGATGCTATTAGCAAATTTTAGATTGGCATCCTTTTTTTTTAATTTTACTTTAAGTTTTAGGGTATATGTGCATATTGTGCAGGTTAGTTACATATGTATACATGTGCCATGCTGGTGCGCTGCACCCACTAACTCATCATCTAGCATTAGGTATATCTCCCAATGCTATCCCTCCCCCCTACCCCCACCCCACAACAGTTCCCAGAGTGTGATATTCCCCTTCCTGTGTCCATGTGATCTCATTGTTCAATTCCCACCTATGAGTGATAATATGCAGTGTTTGGTTTTTTGTTCTTATGATAGTTTACTGAGAATGACGATTTCCAATTTCATCCATGTCCCTACAAAGGACATGAACTCATCATTTTTTATGGCTGCATAGTATTCCATGGTGTATATGTGCCACATTTTCTTAATCCAGTCTATCATTGTTGGACATTTGGGTTGGTTCCAAGTCTTTGCTATTGTGAATAATACCGCAATAAACGTAAGTGTGCATGTGTCTTTATAGCAGCATGATTTATAGTCTTTTGGGTATATACCCAGTAATGGGATGGCTGGGTCAAATGGTATTTCTAGTTCTAGATCCCTGAGGAATCGCCACACTGACTTCCACAGTGGTTGAACTAGTTTACAGTCCCACCAACAGTGTCAAAGTGTTCCTATTTCTCCACATCCTCTCCAGCACCTGTTGTTTCCTGACTTTTTAATGATTGCCATTCTAACTGGTGTGAGATGGTATCTCATTATGGTTTTGATTTGCATTTCTCTGATGGCCAGTGATGGTGAGCATTTTTTCATGTGTTTTTTGGCTGCATAAATGTCTTCTTTTGAGAAGTGTCTGTTCATGTCCTTCACCCACTTTTTGATGGGGTTGTTTGCTTTTTTCTTGTAAATTTGTTGGAGTTGATTGTAGATTCTGGATATTAGCCCTTTGTCAGATGAGTAGGTTGTGAAAATGTTCTCCCATTTTGTAGGTTACCTGTTCACTCTGATGGTAGTTTCTTTTGCTGTGCAGAAGCTCTTTAGTTTAATTAGATCCCATTTGTCAATTTTGTCTTTTGTTGCCATTGCTTTTGGTGTTTTAGACATGAAGTCCTTGTCCATGCCTATGTCCTGAATGGTATTGCCTAGGTTTTCTTCTAGGGTTTTTATGGTTTTAGGTCTAACGTTTAAGTCTTTAATCCATCTTGAATTGATTTTTGTACAAGGTATAAGGAAGGGATCCAGTTTCAGCTTTCTACATATGGCTAGCCAGTTTTCCCAGCACCATTTATTAAATAGGGAATCCTTTCCCCATTGCTTGTTTCAGCAAAGTCTCAGGATACAAAATCAATGTACAAAAATCACAAGCATTCTTATACACCAACAACAGACAAACATAGAGCCAAATCATGAGTGAACTCCCATTCACAATTGCTTCAAAGAGAATAAAATACCTAGGAATCCAACTTACAAGGGATGTGAAGGACCTCTTCAAGGAGAACTACAAACCCCTGCTCAAGGAAATAAAAGAGGATACAAACAAATGGAAGAACATTTCATGCTCATGGGTAGGAAGAATCAATATCGTGAAAATGGCCATACTGCCCAAGGTAATTTACAGATTCAATGCCATCTCCATCAAGCTACCAATGCCTTTCTTCACAGAATTGGAAAAAACTACTTTAAAGTTCATATGGAACCAAAAAAGAGCCTGCATCACCAAGTCAATCCTAAGCCAAAAGAACAAAGCTGGAGGCATCACACTACCTGACTTCAAACTATACTACAAGGCTACAGTAACCAAAACAGCATGGTACTGGTACCAAAACAGAGATATAGATCAATGGAACAGATCAGAGCCCTCAGAAATAATGCCACATAGCTACAACTATCTGATCTTTGGCATCCTTAATATATCAGTTAGATGTTAGTAATTCAACTTTTCCCTATAACTGTATTTTTCTTTTTAATCAGAAATCAATCTTGAGTTTTGTTCAATAATTTTGATATTTATTCTGATTTTTATATTACTTTCTATTAATATATTGGTAAGTTTTTCTAAGATTTTCCATATGTTTATCTGAAAGAAGTTCTGTAATTTTCTTCACTGTTGCCATTATCAGATTATATATCAGATTTACAAAAGTTCTGTTAAAAATTTTGTTCCCCCCCATTTTTCTATGTCATTGAACATTTTGTTGACATTTCATATTTCTTGATTATTGAAGGAAATCTATAAGTCCATTGCTTATAAAGGTTTTTTTGGAGGAAAGTTACTCTTTTTTAGTATATACTGCTTTGTTATTGCTACGTTCACCTATTAAAGTTAAATTATCTACTTTATTAAGACTTAAAATGTTAATATATCATAGTATCAACTTTAAATATCTTCACATCTGTTGTTATATGCTTTATTTCTAATTTTTAATGTGTATTTTATCTTGATTAAATTTTATTGAAACTTATCTAATTTATTATTGTTTCTTTTATAAAAAAGCCAGTCAGGATTTTGCAATTATATTTTTTATGATTTATGATTTTGTTATTGTTACTCTCATATATCTTGCTTTTTTAAATAAATTTTTATAACTTCTTAAATTTGATGCTGTTTATTGTCTTTTTTTTAAGTAGACCTTTACTTATTCTTTCTTCATCCACTTATGTTTGAGTCACCTGCAATGTGTCAGCTTCTACATTCCCTGATCTTCCTTGCTGCTTTCCCTTATTTCTTCCTATAATCCAGGTACAATGATCTTCCAATTGGCTCTCATGGCACCCTACACTTCTGTTATCTCAGCACTTGTTATTCCATTGTGCAAACGGATGGGCAACTAAGAGTCTTTCAGGACTTTATCATAATGTTTCAAAGTCATATTTTTTTTAAGAGACAGGATTGTGTTCTATCACCTAGCCTGGGGGAGTATAGTGGTGTAATCATGGTTCCCTGCAGCCTTGAACTCCTGGGTTCAAGCAATCCTCCCTCTTCAGACTCTAGAATAGCTTGGACTACAAGGGTGTGCAGCCACACCCAGCTAATTTTTTGCTTTTCATTTTTGTAGAGATGGGGTCTCACTCTGTTGACCAGGCTGGTCTTGATCTCCTGGCCTCAAGTGATCTTCCCACCTTAGCCTCCCAAAGTACTGAAATTACAGGCATGAGCCACCACAACTGGTCTAAAAATTCTTAAATCCACTCATGGGCTATCTTCTAACTGTTCCCTTCCTCTATATGTCTCCAGTAAATTTCAACTCGCTCTTCAAATCTGGCTTCTGAGTGACCTTTTCAGAGATTCTCCAATGGATCCAAGTAAATACAATAACTGACTTATATTTTTTCATTTTATTTTATGATTAAATATCAAAATATTGAAATAAACAATATATCCTAAGTAGGTTTTCTTTTTATCTCAAGTTCTAGATTTTGAGGCCTTTGAAGATAGAAACAACAGAGTAAGGTCCTTGAACACAGGAGTTAATCAGTAAGCATTTGTTGAATAAACAATAACAGGACATCTTTCCACTTTCCTAAAACTCATCAAAGAATTCTTACTCATTCTGATCCATCTTCCTTTATGATGACAGCAAACCACTCACTGTGGTCAATGGCATTCAAAAATAAAAAGTGGGTGATTTCCAGAGGTTAAAAAATGTGGACAAAACTATTTGAAATATTCATGTATTTATGAACTGATTCATTAAAAAATTCTCATTGTTAATATTTGTTAAATGCCTACACATCATTAGGGACCATGAGTACAGCAGAGAACAAAACAGAAAAATTTTCCGGCCACATGAAATCTATATTCTAGAGGACAGAAAAAATGGTCTGATAAGAATCAGGAAAGAACAAGATATGTCCAGATTAAATCATAACCTTTATGTAGAATAAGAGTGAAATCATTGTAAGCTATGTTGATATTTGACCAGGCTACTTGAACACTTTTAGATAAGTGCTTTAAAGCCATTGGTGGCTTTTGAACAAGGAACTACTGTGGTCACTGAATTTCATGACAGAGTGCAATAGAAGTGGAAAATGTACATATAAATATTCTCAGGCCCCAATGTGCCATATCATGGAAACTTTGCAATTTTCCAGATGACAGAATAGAAATATGAGACATGACAATGGAAATGATAGTGAAAGGATGAATGTTAAATACACTGCAGAGGAGTAAGAACTTGCAAGAATTGACGAATGATGAGTTAAGTAAGGTATGAAAAAATGAGGAGTCAGGTGAATAAGAAGGGAGGGGGAATAAAATCATGCATCACTTAATAACAGAGATACTTTCTGAAAAATGCATTGTTGGGCAATTTCATTTTCCTGCAAACATCATAGAGTGTACTTACACTAACCTAAATTGCAGCCCACTACTACACAACTAGGCAATATGGTATGGCCTATTGCTACTAGGCTACAAAACTTTATAGCATGTTACTTTACTCAATACTGTAGGCAATTGTAACACAATGGTAGATATTTGTGTTTCTAAACAAACATCAGCATAGAAAAGGTACAGTAAAATGCAGTAAGATAGTCTTATGGATGTACCATTGTATATACAAGTCTGTCATTGACCAAACCTTGTTATGTGGTACATGACTGTAATATGGTATCATGTTGAGCAGAAAGTCTCAACCTTCTCAGTTGAGGCACACTGATAAAAACTATAATAAGAAATGTATTACTGATTACAAAATCTCATGAGTAATTTGTTCTTTCATAAATTTAAGATAATTTCTCCAGAATAACAACACTCACTTTCATTTCTGTATGCTTGTCTTTAAAAGTAGAAGGAAAAGTTGATGAAAGTATGGCTAAAGTTGGAACTTCTCTCTCTTCTACCTTGGCTGCAGCATTAGTGAATAAGTATAATTTTTATGACTGTAACAATTAAATATTTCTCTTTCTGGACTTTACTTTTCCAGAAAGAGAATCTTTGGAGGAAAAGCTTATCTGTGAGGCAGTAAAGGAAAAGTGTTAATGTTTATGCCATATGAACCTTTAGAAGAAAGTCATTTTTTGATGGAAGCTTGCTTATATCAATACATGCATGCATGGAAACAAATATTCTCTTCTTCCGCATGTCTTTTGTATGCTATCCTATTCCACCAGTCCTGAATTAGTGCTTTTGCTCTGCAGCTAACTCTCTCACGTTCGTTTTTCTGAAGTCTGAATCTCTCTCTTGAATGTTTCTGGCCTCAGTACCTACCCTGTAAACGCACTAAACCTGATCCATTTACAGACTAGATAGTTTTTTGGTCCAAAAGATAATTCATGGAATTTCCCTAATAAATGTATATTAATTTATATTACTTTAACAACTGATTTTACTTGATCCTGATGAGGATTGGCTATTAGTTGATTACTATGTGTATTTTGTAAAGATAAACATGGCTGCCAGAAAAGAAGATATTTTATGCCATAAAATATTATGAGACAATTTTTTAAAAATAAGATTATGTTTTTCCTGAAACAAGCTATTTCTACAAACATATGCTTTCATGAAATTTTATTTCTCATGATACCTTTATGATTACCTTATTGTATGCTGATTATATTAATAAAGTTAGAGATTCTGTGAAGTTTTAAGAGATTTTCTCTCTTTTATTTTTATTTTTTTCTTTAAGTTCTTGGAAAGAACATGTACAGAACATTCAGGTTTGTTACATAGGTACACATGTGCCATGGTGGTTTGCTGCACCTGTCAACCCATCATCTAGGTTTTAAGCCACACATGCATTAGGTATTTATTCTAATGCTCTCCCTCCTCTTGCTCCACACCCCCCGACAGACCCTGGTGTGTGATGTTCCCCTCCATGCGTCCATGTGTTCTCATTGTTCAACTCCCATTTATGAATGAGAAAATGCAGTGTTTGGTTTTCTGTTCCTGTGTTAGTTTGCTGAGAACCGTGGCTTCCAACTTCATCCATGTCCCTGCAAAAGACATGAACTCATTTTTTTTATGGCTGCATAGTATTCTATGGTGTATACATGACACATTTTCTTTATCCAGTCTATCATTGATGGGCATTTGGATTGGTTCCAAGTATTTGCTATTGTAAATAGTGCTGCAGTAAACATATGTATGCATGTGTCTTTATAGTAGAATGATTTATAATCTATTGGGTATATACCCCGTAATGAGATGGCTGGGTCAAATAGTATTTCTGGCTCTAGATCCTTGAGGAATTGCCACACTGTCTTCCACAATGGTGGAACTAATTTACACTCCCACCAACAGTGTAAAAGCATTCCTATTTCTCCACAGCCTTGCCAGAATCTGTTGTTTCCTGACATTTTAATAATCATCATTCTAACTGGCATGAGATGGTATCTCACTGTGGTTTTGCTTTGTATTTCTGTAATGACCAGTGATGATGAGAGTTTTTTCATATGTTTATTGGCTGCATAAATGCCCTTTTTTTTTTTAGTCGAATTTTCACTCTTGTTGCCCAAGCTGGAGTAGTTAACAGCGTGATCTCGGCTCACTGCAACCTCCACCTCCTGGGTTCAAGTGATTCTTCTGCCTCAGCCTCCCAAGTAGCTGGGATTACAGGCATGCATCACCATGCCCAGCTAATTTTTTGTATTTTTAGTTAAAACGGGGTTTCACCATGTTAGCCAGGCTGGTCTTGAACTCCTGACCTCAGGTGATCCACCCACCCCAGCCTCCCAAAGTGCTGGGATTACAGGCATGAGTCACCATGCCCAGCCCTCAATGTCTTCTTTTGAGAAGTGTCTGCTTATATCCTTCACCCACATTTTGATGGAATTGTTTTGTTCTTGTAAATTTGTTTAAGTTCCTTGTAGATTCTGGATATTAGACCTTTGTCCAATGGGTAGATCGCAGAAATGTTCTCCCATTCTTTAGGTTGCCCGTTCACACTGATGATAGTTTCTTTTGCTGTGCAGAAGCTTTTTAGTTTAATTAGATCCCATTATTCAATTGTGGCTTTTGTTGCAATTGCTTTTGGTGTTTTAGTCATGAAGTCTGCTCATCCCTACATCCTGAATGGTATTGGCTAGGCTTTCTTCTAGGATTTTTGTGGTTTTAAGTCTTTAAGCTGTCTCGAGTTAATTTTTGTATAAGGTGTAAGGAAGAGGTCCAGTTTCTGTTTTCTGCATATGGCTAGCCACTTTTCTCAGCACCATTTATGAAACAGGGAATCCTTTAACTGTTGCTTGTTTTTGTCAGGTTTGTCGAAGACCAGATGGTTGTAGATGTGTGGTATTATTTTTGAGGTCTCTCTTCTGTTCCATTGATCTATATATTTGTTAGGTACCAAAACCGTGCTGTTTTGGTTACCATAGCCTTGTAGTATGATTTGAAGTCAGGTAGTGTGATGCCTCCAACTTTGTTCTTTTTGCTTAGGTTTATCTTGGCTATATGGACTCTTTTTTGGTTCCATATGGAATTTAAAGTGTTTTTTTCTAATTCTGTGAAGAAAGTCAATAGTAGCTTGATAGGAATAGCATTGAATCTATAAATTACATAGAGCAGTATGGCCATTTTCATTATATTGATTCTTCCTATCCATGAGTATGGACTTTTTTTTCCATTTGTTTGTGTCCTGTGTTATTTTCTTGAGCAGTGCTTTGTAGTTCTCCTTGAAGAGTTCCTTCACGTCCCTGGTAAGTTCTATTCCTTGGTAGTTTATTCTTTGTAGCAATTGTGAATGGGAATTGACTCATTATTTGGCTCTCTGCTTGTCTATTATTGGTGTATATGAATACTTGTGATTTTTTCACATTGATTTTGCATCCTGATACTTTGCAACTTAAAGAGTTTTGGGGCTGAGACGATGGGGTTTTCTACATATACAGTCATGTCGTCTGCAAACAGAGGCAATTTGACTTCCTCTCTTCCTATTGGATACCTTTTATTTCTTTCTCTTGCCTGATTGCCCTGGACAGAATTTCCAATCCTATGCTGAATAGGAGTGGTGAGAGAGGGCATCCTTATCTTGTGCCAGTTTTCAAAGGGAATGTTTCCACTTTTGCAATAAGTGTTTATTGTGTGGAAGTTTTGTGAAAATAGTAGATTAGCTTTATCTACCAGTTGCATATCTTAAAAAAATCATTTAGTACCCAGTTTTTAAGTTTTAAGTAAAAGAGATCACAAGTGACTAATTAAAATAATAATGAGAGTACTATAATTATTCCAAAATAGTTGTTTCTAGTGGTGATATTTAGGGTGTATATTTGGTTTGGATTTTGTGCGTATGTATTTCTAAGTTACCTACAGTGAATACATTTGTGGACATCAAACACTCTATGTTTCTTTTTTTGTGATAGCTTGTGCCTGACCTAATTCTACATTAGTGAACAGATTGAAGAAGTGAGGAGACATCAGATAGATGTAGACACTTCACCAAGGAGTCCCCCTGCAGTGCCACAGGGGCAGTAGGCTCACTTATTCCATATCCTTGGCATTTGCAGGGATAGACATACACAGGGAGGCACGGGGAGCTCTTGAGGAGCAAGGACAGATGGTCAATGATGGGAAAAAGTTGCAGTGACCTAGACCCTCTTTCTTTTAATGGAAGCTCAGGGATGGATGGTCTGGCCATAAACTATTAATAGTACCTCTGGGAAATAATAATACTCAATACAGGGCCCATCAAAACTGTTTCTCAAATTTAAAAGACCCACAGGGTTGCAGAACAGGGACTTAGAAATAGTAGAGGCAATTATATTTAAAATGGATGGTCACAAAACCCTGATTCTGGGTTAGTATGGTTTGCCTCCTCAGTAAATAAGACATGGAATCATAGCAGTAAAAGTATTTTGAGTCTGGGATTTTACAAATAGAAATGTGAATCCATTTTTACATTTAAAAATGCAAATCAATAGAAAATATGTGGTTTTATACATAGGATTTTGGTTTAAGGACTATATTTTAGTGCACAGTCTTCTACTTAACAAAATATATCTGCATTCAAAACAAATTATTTGCTATGAAGCAGAAAGTGAAATTTATCAGGGTCTTAATATTATAAGTTAAATTTTATATTTTGAGGTTATTACCCTGGTTTGGATTTTGTACATTTGCACAACACCTTACAGAAGTGGTTTTCAAACCACATTCCACAGAATGTCCCTTTTTAAGGCTAAGTAATATTCCACTGCATATCTGTACCACATTTTGTTTATCCATTCCTCTGTCAATGAATGCTTCCACCTTTTGGCTATCATGAATAATGTTGCTGTGCACATGAATTTGCAAATATCTGTTGAAGTCCCTGCTTTCAATTTTTGTGCGTTTAAACCCAGAAGTGGACTTGCTGACTGATATAGTAATTCTATGTTTCATTTTTATTTATTTATTTATTTATTTATTTATTTATTTATTTATTTTTGAGCTTGAGTCTGACTCTCTTGGCTCACTGCAACCTCCTCCTCCCAAATTCAAGTGATTCTGCTGCCTCAGCCTCCTGAGTAGCTGGGATTACAGGCACACAGCACCACACCCAGCTAATTTTTGTACTTTTAGTTGAGACAGGGTTTCACCATGTTGGTCAGGCTGGTCTTGAACACCTGACCTCATGATCTGGCCACCTCAGTGTCCTAAAGTGCTAGGATAACAGGCATGAGCCACTGAGCCCAGCCTATGTTCCATTGGTTTTTAATTTAGGAACCACTGTACTCTTTTCCACCATGACTATACTGCTGTAGAGTCCACCGGCAATGTACAAGAGTTTCGACTTGGCTACATCCTCACCAACACTTTTTATTCCCTGCTTTTTTGATGATTGCCATCTTAATGTGTATGAAGTGGTATCTTACTATGGTTTTGATTTGTATTTCCTTAGTAATCAGTGATGTTGAGCATCTTTCATGTGCTTGATGGCCAGTTGTATATCTTTTTTGGGAAATTTTCTATGTAAGTCCTTTGCCTATTTTTTAATTGGGTTGTTAATTTATTGTTGAGTTGTAGGAATTCTTTCTATATTCTGCAGATTGATCCCTTAGCAAAGATATTATTTGAAATATTTTCTTCCATTCTGCCAGTTGTCCTCCGATTGCACAAAAGTTTTAAATTTTGGTGAAGTCCAAATTACTTATTTTTTTTCTTTTGTTACTTATGCTTTTGGTGTCATAAAGCTTTTAGTTTATAATTTTAACCATATCATGTCTCCTGCTTCACATGTATCACTGGACAAGGTCCCTTTTTTTATGTGCTCAGCTTCTGTCAGAGGTAAATGTATTTTGAAGTGGAGAACGAAGACAATTGCAAAATTGGCCTGGAGAACTAAGGTAATTATGAAAGTTCCAGATACAAGGAGAGAGGGCTCAATATGCCAGCAGTTCTCTACCAATCCATCCAAGAAGTCTTCTTTTAGGATTGCCTAAATAATGCAGGGGATCGGTGAAAGACACACAAGTGTTCCAGAAGCATGTAAACAAGGTACAGAGAAGAGGATAAGATAAAATAAGATGAGCTAAGAATATTAGGAAAGCCCTGTTCAAAAGATCACCTACAGAGGCAAAAGGGACAGTTTCATTTTGCTGAGGGAAACAGGGTGGTAAGAAGCCTCGTGGGGAAGATCCCCACTTACCCTGATACAGAAAGCTGTAAAATAACATAATAGGAGAGCATTAGGCTGAGATAGCTCCCATGGCCTGGGTTCCTACATAGACAAAATGAAACAAGCTTATCCCACCAACAAGTGGCCCGCTGAGTATTAGCTGTGTAATGAGAGACCTACCACCAGGATAGTTCAAATAATGCAACTGTCCACATTTTTGCCAAACAAATAATTTCTCTACTCTACTTCTACATTCTCCCTATAAAAGCCTTCACTACAGAAACCTCCAGTGGATCCTCCAACCACTTTCAGTTTGGAGCTGGCTGATCCATGAATCTCTGTTTGCTTAAATAAACTCTTTAAAATGTTAATATGCTAACATTTATCTATTTTTTCTCATTTTTAAAAATTGAGATGGGATCTTCCTATGTTGTCCAGGCTGGTATTAAACTCCTGAACTCAAGGGATCCACCTGCCTCAGCCTCCTGAGTAGCTGGAACTATAGACGTGTGCCTCCACACCCAGCTTACATTTATCTTTAAACAAGGGTTTGACCCCTTTCTGAAATGTATTTGTGTTAAGACCTGTACCCTAAGTGATATGGCAGGCTCATTTTAGACCATTGGACACTTTTGTCTATGGACCACAATTTGCCCTTTGTGACCTGCTCTCCTAAGAAATTCAAGTGTAATTCAAGTTAGTTTACTCTCTGCTGATCAGGAGAGATTGCTTTCGGTGCAAATTCAAGACAGGCACTCACACCTTCATTTATACCCCAAATCTCAGCATCATACAATACACCCATGTAATAAACCTGCATAGGTACCCTCCGGGATCTAAAATGAAAGTTGAAATTCCCTAAAATTTTAATTTCATCTTACTAAAATACAAAGATAAATTTACTTCTTTCCAATTTTGTTATACATTATACTGACATACACACTATATTCTATGGTGAATTATATTGATTGAATTTCACATTTTAAACTAACACTGAGTTACTGTGAAAAACTCTATTGGGTCATAATGTATTATGTTTTTAATATATTTTAATACAATTTGCAAATATTCTGTTTTAAAATTACATCTATATTCCATAAATAAATAAATATGTAAAAAATGATAAATGTTTATATTATTCAAGTGAAGATTATAGCGATCTTTTTGAATATCTACTTAACCTCAGCTAGCTTTAAATTCAGAAGTAGCAACTCCATAGAAATTCAACTTATTACGACCTTATTACTCATACTTGTCTCCTTGAAGAAGCTTTTTTGCTATCATCCAGTTTAGACTGGGATGTCACAGATCTCTGGACTGAGTAGTATAATACTCACTATTCAAATAAAATCAAATTATTAGAATGTTATGACACCTCCAAATACAAAAACGAAGCTCATGGATGTTAGGTTAAGGTATAGAGACAAGTATTCCTACTTACTATCTTTTTAGAGCAGACATATCCCAGCTAAGGTGATTGCAAAATGAAATGGAAACCATATTGTGGAAGGGGACTTGAGACTCAGATTGGATTTTCATACCAACTCTTACATACACAAGCTGCATGACTCTGGGTAAATTGCATATTCTCTTAGAGTTTCAATTTCTTCATCTGTTCAATAGAGGTTAATCCCTATGGGCTATGGCTGATGTAGGGATAAAAGAACCAACATGGATGCATGGGCAGGGCCTGGTCCATAGAGCAGCTGGCATCAACAAATGGAAGCCCCCTTCCCATCTTGTCTTTGCGTGCACCACAAAATCCGGAATATGTGGGTACAAAAAGTACTCTTGTAAGAGACAGAATTGGAAACTTTTGCAAAAAGAGATTGGAAAGGTGTCACATCTTGTGGCATGAGGAGTTGTGGGCAAACACTTGAACTTTGTGCTGTGAGATATCCACAGAACTTAAGTAGCTTAAGGGAACAGTTTAGATGTCATCTTATTCATCTACCATAGAACTTCTTCTTCTTTTCTGAGATTTCTAGACAGTAAATTTTACAACACTAACAATGCAGTTCTCTCCAAATTGTTTGGACTATTCTAATAGATACAAAGCAGTATTTCACCAGTAGATGCTACTGCAGTTCATATGATGATTTCAAACTGAGAATCCCTTTAAAGTTATGCAATACATTTTTTTGGAAATAGGGTGAAAGTACTTTAAGATTAAAATCCTATGAAATAGTTTTACAGTAAATAATTATTTGTTGCAATGTCTATCTTACTATCTTATATTCACACATGTATCAGTGTCCTAATAAATATATGTGGTGAGTGAAAGTTACTTGAGGGCAGAGACTGTGCCATAGGTTCCCTGCACCGCTGATGCCTATCTCAGCACCTGATATACAGTAGATGCCCAGTAAATACTTTAACTTAAAAACTGCACTAAGAATAAGTCTTAGAAGACATCAAAATACATATGAGTACAATCTAGGGACATGGTCAGGAGCTCAAAGTTCAATCTTGTTTATTTATTTATTTATTTAGAGACAGAGTCTCACTCTGTCACCCAGGCTGGAGTGCAGTGGCACGATCTTGGCTTACTGTAACCTTCCTCTCCCGGGTTCAAGCGATTCTCCTGCCTCAGCCTCCAGAGTATCTGGGATTACAGGTGCACACTAACACTCCCGGCTAATTTTTTTGTATTTTTAGTAGACACAGGGTTTCACCATGTTGGCCAAGCTGGTCTCAAACTCCTGAGATCAGGCAATCTGCCCACTTTGATCTCCCAAAATGCTGGGATTATAGGCATCAGCCACCACACACGACCACATAATGTTTTAATGTAGCTTCAAAACCCCTTTGCAAATAGGTGTATTCATAACAAGATGCAAACAAGAAAACATTGAGCTTCATATAATAGAAGGGTTCTGCCTGGATTTGCATGTGGCCCCATCATTTGTTTGCTATTGGGCCATGGTCAGGTTACTTAGCTGTTCTCTTCCTCCACATAGGCTTTATGCCTGTGCATCCCTCGTCTACAAAATGGGAATAATAAGAATATCTAACAGTTAGAAGTGGAGAAAACATATATAAAGGCCTTTGAAAAGAGCTTGTCAATGCTCAATTATTGGCCTCAATAATTGCTCTCAATAATTGTCAGCTATTATTCAATAATAATCATAATCATGAAAATTTATGACTCAAAGAAAGATTCCTACTTCATATCCAGCTTGCCAAAAGAATATCAGACATTGGACTTGTGAAAGGAATGACATTGAGATTTATTTTCACATCGCTAAGTTGGTTTTTTCTTTACCATTCAATTTCTGCAGTCCCCACTCTAAGCCCATGGTCCACCTTTTTATTTTTCCTCCTAAGATGTCTTCCCTTCTTGTAAGATTTTCTTTGCATTAAGAATGGCTCTTTTCATCCACCCACTCTTTTGCCCTTCCCAGAAGTTGGTTAATGGGCACAAAAATACAGTTAGATGGAAGGAACAGAAGAAGTTCTAGTGTTCAGTAGCACAGTAGGTGATGATCATTAACAATAACTTATTATACATTTCAAAATGGCTAGAGGAAAGATGTGGAATTTTCCTAACACAAATAAATGATAAGTGTTTGAGGTATGGAAATGCAAACTATCTTGATTTGATCAGTACACAAAGTATGCATGTATCAAAATATCACATGTAACCTAGAAATAATTATAATTGTCATGTATCAATAAAAACAAAAAGGGCCTATTTCTCTTTCCTTCCTCCCCGCATTCCCTCCTATCCCAGATATGTGTCACTCCTGGGGCTCTCCTGCCCCACGTTCAGTCAGCACTGAGCCAGCAGGAAGGATCTCACAGGTCATATCCTGAGATCAACTTTCTACCCCTTCAGGTAATGATCCTCCTGCTCTTAGTCATTTATATCCTTTGGTTCATAGATATTTTGAGTCAAGTGCCTTCTAACTGCTGAGCTACATAATATCCCTTGGTTTTTAAAGATAATACAAAGTGGATTTTAGTAACAATCTTCAGTCATCACAGAAGCTAATGAAGTTGGGGATTCCATGAAGCCATCCAAGCACATAAAGCCCATTTCCTGGGTCCCTTTTCCTTAGCTCAAGGCCACAGAAATCAGAACATGAATTCCAGCCCATATTTGCATTATGTCTAAATAATTATGAATTATAAATGAAGCTAAAAAATAGCTAAATACATTCCATTCTTCTACTTCCATAAATATACCACCATAATAACCCACAAGGTCGAAGTCGAGTGTAGAATTCTCTGATTTCTTGGTGCTCTGCACGGGAATGCAGTAGTAAAGGGAGAGCTGACCCTCAGCCCCAGGCTAAACTTTTTTCTTTCATCAAAGCTAGCCCTGTCCTTACTTGAGAAGCCTTGCGTACCCCTGTGTGAGGGACTCCCTAGGCTCCATGCAAGCTCCATCTACCATTCTCACCCCTTCAGACAGCAGAGCCTTGGGCACCATTTGGACAAACACAGTTTGCATTTTGAAATGGACCCAGGGAAGAGGCCATGCAGGCTCAGGCACATTTAGCCAGGGGACTGAGTGCCCAGCATGTGCCCTAGAAGAGAGGGTGAGAGCTCTGGGTGGGCCAGGGTACAGTCAGTGGAGGGCCAGAGAGGCACCTTCTCAAGCGCAGGATTCAGGGTGGGGGTCCTCTTGCCAAGATCGATGGCTACGATTCCTCCGTGCAATGACGACTGCATCATGACTTCTCAGCACACTTTTCATTCAGTCTCAGCCACCGTGGGGAGCTCCACTGAAGCACAGGCTTCCCTTTTGCTGCCAGCAAACTCAAGCTACACTTTCTGCCCCAGGACATCTCCACTATTATAGGATTTTGCCTGAGCACAAATACAGCCCAGAAACACTTGCAGGTTAACAGCCTCAGGGGAAGACCTCAAACAGTGTGGGACAGGTGGGCAAATGCTCGAGGCTCATGTTTCAGATGGACAGTCCTGGATAACTTTCCAGAGCCTCTCGGAAGGTCCCGCATAAAAAAAGTGCATGGGGGCAGCCTCAGTAGCATGCCATTATTTTGGCTTTTTTTTCTTGCCTGGTTCACTCTTCCCACATCTCACTCTTGCTTCTTGGAATCACTTCCCAAATAAACCATCCACACCCAAGTCTTTACTCCAGCTCTGCTTTCAGGGGTACAGGCACACCTTGGAGATATTTCAGGTTTGGTTCTAAGTCACCACAATAAGGCGAATATCACAATAGAGCAAGTCACACGAAATTTTTTGCAAGTCACAAGAAATTCTTTGCTTTCTGGTGCACATAAAAGTTGTGTTGCCAGGCATGGTGGCTCAAGCCTGTAATCCCAGCACATTGGGAGGCCGAGGCGGGTGGATCACCCAAGGTCAGAAGTTCGAGACCTGCCTGGCCAACATGGGGAAACCCTGTGGAAATAGAAAAATGGTGGTGAGCGCCTGTATTCCTAGCTACTCAAGAGGCTGAGGCAGGAGAATTGTTTGAACATGGGAGGCAGAGTTTGCAGTGAGACAAGATCACACCACTGCACTCCAACCTGGGCAACAGAGTGAGACTCCATCTCAAAAAAAAAAAAAAAAGTTATGTTTAAACTACTGTAGTCAATTAAGTGTGCAATAGCATTATGTCTAAAATATAGTGTAAATACCTTACTTTGAAAATACTTGATTGCCAAAAAATGCTAACCATCATCTGGGCCTTCATCAAGTCACCATCACTTTGCTGGTGGATGGTTTTGCCTCAGTGTTGATAGCTACTGACTGATCAGGGTGATGGTTGCTGAGGGCTGGAGAGGTTGTGGCAATTTCTTAAAATAACATGACAATGAAGTTTGCCGCATTGACTGACTCTTGCTTTCACAAAAGATTTCACTGTAGCATGCTGTACAGTTTGTTAGCATTTTACCCACAGTAGAATTTATATCAAAACTGGAACTAATCCTCTCAAACCCTGCCACTCCTCTATAAACTAAATTTATGGAATATTCTAAGTCCTTTGTTGTTCTTTCCACATGTTCATGGCATCTTCATCAGGAGTAGATTCCATCCCAAGAAACCACTTTCTTTGCTCATTCATAATAAGCAACTCTTCATCCACTAAGATTGCAGCAATTTGGCCAGGTGCGGTGGCTCATGCCTGTAATCCCAGCAATTTTGTAGGCTGAGGTGAGTGGATCATCTGACGTTGGGAGTTCGAGACCAGCCTGACCAACATGGTGAAACTCCATCTCTACTAAAAATACAAAATTAGCCGGGTGTCATGACACAAGCCTACAATACCAGCTACTCGGGAGGCTGAGGCAGGAGAATCGCTTGAAACCATGAGGCGGAGGCTGCAATGAGCTGAGATTGCACCATTGCACTCCAGCCCGGGCAACAAGAGCAAAATTCCATCTCAAAAAAAAAAAAAAAAAAAAAACATTGCAGCAATTCACTCACATCTTCAGGCTCCACTTGTAATACTAGTTCTCTTGCTATCTTCACCACAACTGTGGTTACTTCCTCTGCTAAAGTCTTGAACCCCTCAAAATCATTTATGACGGTTGGAATCAACTTCTTCCAACCTCCTATTACTGCTGCTATTTTTACTTCCTCTGGCGAATCATGAATGCTCTTAGTGGCATCTACAATAGTGAATCCATTTATAGAGCATGGGTAGAGTAGATTTATCATAATTCTTAAGAGGTGCCCTAGGATTTATTGAATGGCAAATGAGCATTGGCTTGTAATAAGAGAGTCAGTCTGTCCTATAAAACTTTTTTTTTTCTTGAGATAAGGTCTCACTCTGTTGCCCAGGAAGGACTGCAGTGGCATGATCTTGGCCCACTTCAGACTTGACCTCCTTGACTCAAGCAATCCTCCCACCTCAGCCTCCTGAGTAGCTGGACTAATAGCATGTACCACCATACATGTTTTTTTTTTTTTTAATTCATTTATTTTTGGTTAGAGACAGGGTTTCACCATGTTGCCCAGGCTGGTCTCAAACTCCTAAGCTCAATCTATTCTCCCACTTCAGCCTCCCAGAGTGCTGGGATTACAGACATGAGCCACCCTGCCTGGCCTCTAAATTCGTGTTATGGAGACTCATTTTCATGGTTAAAATGTCCTGAATTGACTGTGGCCTGTTGGGAGGTGGGATGGAGGAAACTACTTATGGAAAATGAAGAAGAAAGGGAAGCACACCAGAAGCAAGAAAGTGTCATCGATTTTTACATCAAGGACTCCATGATAAAGAGAAAGAACAGGTAGCCTGTTTTCGTGGCTGACCATTGGACTGCAGACTGCACCTGCATCTACCAGGTTCTTCTGGATAGTCCCAGTTTTAAATTTTTGACCTGATATTCATGAACACAGTGCTACTGGTCAGACCTTTGTCCAGGTTTAAGCATCAGAAAATAAGGTCTTCATGCAGTGGGAGGCCCGGTTAGGGTTATGATTCTGCCCTGGGGCATCTGCCCCTTCTGACCTGGAGGTAAACTTAGCATCTACAATTTACCTCCACACTTGAACAGCCAAGGATGGGCTGAGCACAAAGGCTCACATCTGTAACTCCAACACTTTGGGAGGCCAAGGCAGGAGGATTGCTTAAGGCCAGGAGTTCAAGACCAGCCTGGGCAATATAGTGAGACCTTGTCCTGTAAAAACAAACAAACAAACAAACAAACAAAACCAAGGATGGATGAGTGGCAGGGAGCAGTTCAACATGGGAAACCATTAATCTGAGAGCTGGAAGGACCCTTAGACCAGCCTCCTATTAACAGATGAGACTCTGCCCTGGGATTATAGCCTAAGGTAATACATTGAACTTTTCTAGAGATTTGAAAATAATCAGTCCTAAAACCCCCAAGCATAGTGTTTGCTAATGAAAAATGTTTTCTAGTCCAGGTGTGGTGGTTCATGCCTGTAATCCCAACACTTTGGAAGGCTGAGGCAAGTGGATCACCTGAGGTCAGGAGTTCGAGACCAGCCTGGCCAACATGGTGAAACCCTGTCTCTACTAAAAATACAAAAAATTAGCAGGCCATGGTGGTGCATGCCTGTAATCCCAGGTGCTTGGGAGGCTGAGGCAGGAGAACACTTTGATCCTGGGAGGCAGAGGTTGCAGTGAGCTGAGATTGGACCATTGCACTCCAGCCTGGGCTACAAGACTCAAGTTCTGTCTCAAAAATACTAATGATAATAATAATATTTTCTACAAGCAAGGGGTTACTTTGTACTGGGAACTGGTGTGAAGGGATCCACCATGTGCCAGCTTTTGGATTGATGACAGTTATTTCCAGATCATGCAGGTGGGAATGCTTGTTGATCATCTTCTCTGTTCTTTGTTATATTGATTGATTTTTTTAAAAAGCTAGCATTTTTATAACAATAAAGTTGTAAAATAAGTAACTAAAATAAAGTAAAATAATCTAAAGAGGCCGAGCGCGGTGGCTCACACCTGTAATCCCAGCACTTTGGGAGGCCTAGGTGGGTGGATCACGTGAGGTCAGGAGTTCAAGACCAGCCTGGCCAACATGGTGAAACCCCATCTCTACTGAAAATACAAAAATTAGCCAGATGCAGTGGCAGGCACCTGTAATCCCAGCTACTCAGGAGGTTGAGGCAAGAGAATTTCTTGAACCTGGGAGAAGGTGCTTGCAGTGAGCTGAGATTGCGCCATTGCATTCCAGCCTGGGTGACCAGAGCTAAACTCCATCTCAAAACAAACGAAACAAAAATCTAAATGTAATTTAGTTGAATATTTAAACTTTTAATTGACATTTCAAATTAGATTCTAATTCCATTTAAAAGAGCATATCATAGAAGCAAATGTACTCATTTATGTTAACTCTGTGGTTTCATTTAAGCAATTTGTTTTGTGAAGGGATGCAAATCCAACCAGATTTTAACAGTGCATAAATATGTATTTATTAATTGAATTACAATCACAATACTCTCAACTCCCCATTTGAATAAAGGAGAGCATCTGATCTGTGTTCTGGGACAGCGTGCACTGTAGGTGTGTGGAAATACCGATGCCCTCAGCTGTGTGGCAGGCTCAGTGGGACCTGGAGTGCAGGAGGAGCCCCTGGGCCATTCACCTCCTGCCACAAAAGTCATTGTCCATTTACCCCCAACTGCTATACAAATATTATTTTCAGTGGTTGTTATGATGCAAAAGAAAAGAAGCAGGGAGATTTATTAAACCCTTACATGTAAGTTATGTTAGTAAATAAAGTCTACTTTCTTCTGGCTTAACTAAAAATCTATACTAGTATTTATGCATTTTGGAAAATAAGATGCCAATTTAAATATTATGAAGCAAAGCAATTGATTATTAGGTAAGACAGCCAAGTACTACTGCAGAATTATAGAGGTTATGTGTTACATGTATAAGAATATTTCATAGCAATAATCTTTTAAGACTCTGTGAAGACACTCTACAGTGAAGCAGAAATGAGAACAGAATTAATAACACTGTGTATGCTCTCAGTTCACCAATTTATCAAAACTAGCTTTATGATTCAGGAGGGTGTCTGCTCTTTTGCAATTGGAAGAAAAGAAATAATATTTTATTTTTCAACTCTTTAGATTTTCTTCATTAAGAGTATTTCCAAGGCTAAGTAAGGGAGTTGCAAGTAGCACCAAGAGAAAAAAGCAGTCTTGAGCAGCTTTTAAAAAACGGTCTTAAAATATGGAAAATGGAGCCAGGTGTGGTGGCTCACTCTTGTGATCCCAACACTTCGGGAGCTTGAGGTGGGAGGATTGCTTGAGGCCAAAAGTTTGAGACCAGCCTGGGCAGCATAGCAAGATCCCCATCGTTACAAAAAATAATATATATTTTTTAAATTAGATGGATGAGGTGGTACATGCCTTAGAGTCCCAGTTACTTGGGAGGCTGAAGTAGGAGGAGTTCTTGAGCCCAGGAGTTCAAGTCTGCAGTGAGCTACGATTGCCACAGTCCTCAAGCCTGGGCAAGAAAGTGAGACTCTGTCTCTCTCTATATATATAAATATTTATGATATAGATGATATATCATGATATATATGATATATTTTATATATGATATATATCATATATAAATATATGTATAAATATATGTGATATATATCATATATAAATATATATGATATATATCATATATATTATATATGATATATATCATATATAAATATATGTATAAATATATGTGATATATATCATACATATAAATATCATATATAAATATATATGATATATATATCATATATATTAAATACATATGATATATATATCATATATATGGATATATATACTCTCTCTTTCTCTCTCTCTCTATATATATATGGAAAAGGGAGGGGGCCAAGAATATCAAAGGCCTTATTAAAAAGAGGAAAGATTTGTGCTAGCAAATATCAGAACTTTTATAAAGCTACAGCAATTAAGACAGTGTGGTTTTCACTGATAAACTGACTGATGAAACAGAATAGAGAGTTCCCAAACAAATATTCACAAATTTAATCTTTGATATGTGATGTAGGTGACATGGCAGATCAGCAAGGAAAGAAAGAACTTTTCAATAAATAGAATAGAAAAATAATGGTTATTGATATAGGAAATATATGATATATAATATATATCATACTATAGATATATATGATATATAATATTTATATATATATAATATTTATATATATATAAATATAATATATATAATATTTATATATATAAATATATATAAATATAATATTTATATATCATATATATGGATATATATACTCTCTCTTTCTCTCTCTCTCTATATATATATGGAAAAGGGAGGGGGCCAAGAATATCAAAGGCCTTATTAAAAAGAGGAAAGATTTGTGCTAGCAAATATCAGAACTTTTATAAAGCTACAGCAATTAAGACAGTGTGGTTTTCACTGATAAACTGACTGATGAAACAGAATAGAGAGTTCCCAAACAAATATTCACAAATTTAATCTTTGATATGTGATGTAGGTGACATGGCAGATCAGCAAGGAAAGAAAGAACTTTTCAATAAATAGAATAGAAAAATAATGGTTATTGATATAGGAAACAAAATGAAATTATATTCCTACTTCACTCTATTACAAACATTAAATTCCAAAGACCAAAGACTTACATGTCAGAAACAAAACTTTAAAACTTTTAGTAGAAAATGTATGTGAATGAGACACAAAAAGCCATTTAACCATTAAAAAAGATTAGACATTTTGACTCTCATACAATTAAGAACTTTTTACATCAAAAAGTGGAAAGATAGGCTGGGCAAGGTGTCTCAAGCCTGTAATCCGAACAGTACATCATCTGAGGTCAGGAGTTTGAGACCAGGCTGGCCAACATGGTGAAACCCCGTCTCTACTAAAAATACAAGAAATTAGCTTGGCATTAGTGGCAGACACCTGTAATTCCAGCTACTTGGGAAGCTGAGACACAAGAATCATCTGAACCCGGGAGGTGGAGGTTGCAGTGAGCCACTGCACTCCAGCCTGAATAACAGAGCTAGACTCCGTCTCAAAAAAAAAAAAAAAAAAGAAATTAAAAAATAAAAGTAAAAAAGTGAAAAGATAAACTATAAATTAGAAGATATTTGCAGTACCTAAAACCTATGAAATATTAAAATCATATCAACTAAGTATAAGGAACTCCTATGAATTAATTTTAAAAATAGCAACCCAACAGAAAATTGGGAAAATACATCAATAGGGATTTCACAAAAAAGAAAGCCTGCAAAATGTAAAAAATGTCCCCACCTCATTAGTAATCAGGAAAATGCCCAAGATACTACACATCTATTCTCCCCACAATTATTAAGAAGTTTGACAATACCAAATGTATTAGTTCACATTCACACTGCTGATAAAGACATACCTGAGATGGGGAAGAAAAAGAGGTTTAATTGTATTTCGGGATCCACATGGTTGAGGAGGCCTCAGAGTTATGGCAGTGGATGAACAGCATGTCTTACATGGCAGTGGCAAGAGAATATGAGAAGGAGGCAAAATAAACAAAAGATGAAACCACTGGTAAACCCATCAGATCTTGTGAGATTTATTCACTATCACAAGAACAGCATGGGAAAGACCAGCCCCAAAGATTCAACTACCTCCCCCTGGTTCCCTCCCCGAACACGTGGGAATTCTGAGCAATACAATTCAAGTTGAGATGTGGGTAGGGACACAGTCAAACCATATTTTTCCACTCCTGGCCCTTCCAAATCTCACGTTCTGTCCAAATCTCATGTCCTCACATTTCAAAACCTATTATTCCTTCCCAACAGTCCCCCAAAGTCTCAACTCATTTCAGCATTAACCCAAATGTCCACTGTCCAAAGTCTCATCTGAGACAAAGCAAGTCTCTTCTGCCTATGACCCTGTAAAATCCAAATCAAGCTAGTTACTTCCTAGATACAGTGGGGGTACAGGTAGTTGAGTAAATGCTGCTGTTCCAAATGGGAGAAATTGGCCAAAACAAAGGGGCTACTGGTCCCATGCAAGTCTGAAATCCAGCAAGGTAGTAAAATTTTAAATCTCCAAAATGATCTCCGTTGACTTCATGTTTCACATCAGGATCATGCTGATGCAAGAGGTGGGCTCCCACAGCCTTGGATAGTTCTGCCCCTGTGGCTTTGTAGCATATAGCCCACCTCCTGGCTACTTTCATGGGCTGATGTTGAGTGACTGCAGCTTTTCCAGGCTCACAGTGCAAGCCATCAGTGAATCTACCATTCTGGGGCCTGGAGGAGTGTGACCCTCTCCTCACAGCTCCACTAGGAAGTGCCCCAGTAGGGACTCTGTGTAGGGGCTCCAATCCCACATTTCCCTTCTGCACAGCCCTAGCAGAGGTTTTCCATCAGAGTCCCACCCCTGCAGCAAACTTCTGCTTGGACATCCTGGTATTTTCATACATCCTCTGAAATCTAGGTGGGGGTTTCCAAACCTCAATTCTTGACTTCTATGCATGTGCAGACTCAACACCACGTGGAAGCTGCCAAGGCTTGGCGTTTGCACTCTCAAGCCATGGCCTGAGTTCTATGTTGGTCCCTTTCAGCCATGGCTAGAAGGGCTGAAATGCAGAGAACCAAGGCCCTAGGCTGCACACAGCACAGTCAACCTGTGCCCAGCCCAGAAAACCATTTTTTCCTCCTAGGCCTCTGGGCTTGTGATGGGAGGGTCTGCTGTGATGACCTGTGACATGTCCCGTAGAAATTTTCCCCATTGTTTTGGGGATTAACATTCAGCTTCTCGTTACTTATGCAAATTTCTGCAGACTCCTCTAATTTATCCTCAGAAAATGGGATTTTCTTCTCTATCACATTGTCAGGCTGCAAATTTTCCAAACTTGTATGCTCTGCTTCCTTTATGAAACCAAAGTCCTTTAGAATCACCCAAGTCACCTCTTGAATGTTTTACTGCTTAGAAATTTCTTCCAGCAGATAACCTAAATCATCTCTCTCAAGTTCAAAGTTCCACAAATCTCTAGGGCAGGGGCAAAATGCTGCCATTCTTTTTGCTAAAACATAACGAGAGTCACCTTTGCTCCAGTTCCCAACAAGTTTCTCATCTCCATCTGAGACCACCTCAGCCTGGACCTTATTGTTCAAAACACTATCAGCATTTTTGTCAAATCCATTCAACAAGTCTCTAGGAGGTTCCAAAATTTCCCACCTTTTCCATTCTTTTTCTGAGCCCTTGAAACTGTTCCAACTTCTGCCTGTTAACAAGTTTCAAAGTTGCTTCCACATTTTTCACTATCTTTTCAGCAGCACCCCACACCACTGGTATCAATTTACTGTATTAGTCTGTTTTCACACTGCTGATAAAGACATACCCAAGTCTGAGAAGAAAAAGAGGTGTAAAGAAAAAGAACTGTAATTGGATTTACAGTCCCACATGGTGGGGGAGGTCTCAGAGTCATGGTAGGAGGTGAAAGGGACTTCTTAAATGGCAGCAGCAAGAGAAAATGAGGAGGAAGCCAAAGCAGAAACCCCTGATAAACCCATCAGATCTCTTGAGGCTTATTCCCTATCATGAGAATAGCACAGGAAAGACTGGCCTCCATCATTCAGTTACCTCACCCTGTGTCCCCCCCACAACATGTGGATATTCTGGGAGATAGAACTCAAGCTGAGATTTGAGTGGGGACACAGCCAAACCTTATCACCAAATATGGAGAGACTGTGGATCAACAAGATCATCTCGAACTAATACAGGAGGTGAGGGTTTAAATTAGAATTACCACTTTGGAAAACAATTTGGATTATCTTATAAAGTTGAGCATTCTCATATGTTATGGCAAACTAATTTCTCTACCATAGGCCCTGGAGAAACTCTTGCCCATATGTACCAGAAGTAGTAAAAAAATAAATGCTCATGTAATGCCATTCATAACAGCAAATATATGGAAACAAGCCAGATGTTCATTAATAGGAGAATAGGTAAATTAATAGGAGAATGGGTAAATAAATTATACCTTTAAAAAACTAAATAATATGTCATTTAGGGCAATCATATATAGGCAATAAAGCAATTTTTTTAAAGGCAGGGAATCCTAAACATAAATTCAGGGTAGTAGTTACCCTGGGGCTGAAGGGTGTAAATCAGGAAAAAAGACAGAGGAGGAGCAGATGTTAGGGTCAGAACCCTAGTTCTTGAGTTGTGTTGTGGGTTCACAAGTGATTACCATATTATTCAAATACATTTGCATAGAGGCCCAGGCACAGACAAGGATGAAATAGGAGCCAAGGTATGCTATGAGTCAAGGAATATGATTAATCAAATTTTGTGCACTTTAAGCCATTTGAAAAACAGAAAAGCAAAACAACAAAATAATTTTTTTAAAAATTGAATATAGAGTGCTATGTTCTGAATGTGTTCCCCTAAAATTAATCACAATGTTATAGGATTAGGAAGTAGCGCCCTTAGGTAGTGATTCATTCATGAAGAGAGTTCCTTCAAGAATGGGTTTAGGGTCCTTACACAAGGACTGGAGGGCGTGGGCTTCCCCTGTTTTGCCCTTTCACCTTCTGCCATGTGAGGGCACAGTGCATCTCCTCCTGAAGACACAGTGCACAAGGTACCATCTTGGATGCAAAGGCCAGGTCCTCACCAGACACCAATCCTTCTGGCATCTTGATCTTGGACTTCCAGCCTATGGAACTAGGAGAAATAATTTCTCTTCTTCAGAAATTACCCAGCCTATTGTATTTTCTTATACAGTAGCACAAACTCATTAAGACATAATGCCTCTTGTCATTTTCTTCTACAATTTTCTTTGTTGCCTCTTTAGCACTGGAGCATTTTATATTTGATCCTTCATAATATCTCTTACTTTTGGTTTTTCACATTTCTGTTCCAAATGTATTCTTAGATACATATTTTTCACTGTTTGTTAGTATCCAGGTCAGAAAGTCAAGGATACATTCTTTTAAGGGTTTAGTTTCTGCAACAATGAAGTATTAATGCCTCCTGTAAACTAGGTATTTCCTATCCAATTGTAACTGCCATCTGGAAGCAAAGTGGAATTACAGGCTATGAGTGTGAGCTTGATATTTAGTGTATCTAGAGTATGGTTAAATGCTGGTTTTTAATCACACAGATACACCAATTGCTTGGCATACTAGGGTATCAGTTGCTAGTTATCTCTGTATTTATCCATGCTGTTACAGAGGGAAAGTACAGTGTCACACATAGCAGCTCAGGTGAAAAGCACTTTTATTGTGGGGACTTTCCCTTAGTGCTCTGTGGTGCACAAGAGCAGACCTATGTAGAAGCATTTAAGTATTTTGTGCATCAACAGGACAACTAAAGGAACAAATTCTTATTGTATCTTTTTTAGTCCCTGAAGACAAAACCACAGTGACAGTAACTAGTTCAAGGCATTGTATTCAGAGAGGGTCAGCCTTGGTCTTTGAGAGTGAGTCCCCTTTACCCCACTGCCAAGACTCACTGAGCAGATGGGAAAGTTCAGGTGGAACATGCAGTGAATAGCAAACACGGTGGGGGGCGCTCACTATCATGCACTGCCATGCCTGCCATGGTCAGCAGACCTGTCTTCTACTTGACAACAGGCAGGTTGAGAAACATTTTCTTGGAGAGTTTCTTGATTCTTGCCAGTTGTGGCAGGAAGGACTGATTTAGAGGAGTTCAGGAAGGTTGTTAAACAACACAGAAACACAAGATGAATTGTACTCCTCAGCAGGCCTAGGTTAGAGCAGCAGGTACTTAAAGCCTCAGCCACTCCTGGGACACAACATAATGCCCCTAATGATTTGAAATTTGGTGGAGAGTGGGTCGCTAATCCCTGTGTCCAGGGACAAAAAGAGACATAAACAGCAAAAAGTTATAAAATAAGTGGGCCTAACATCTGCTTATTGTGGGAGGTAGGGATTTAAGATATAAGAATTTAGCTGCAGGAACAATCTCACACCTGTAATCTCAGCACTTGAGGAGGCCAACACAGGAGGACAGTTTGAGCCCAGGAGTTTGACATGAGCCAGGCAACATAGTAAGTCCCCATTCGTACAAAAATGTTTTTGGAGGAAAGTAGTTGAGTGTGGGGGCACATGCCTGTAGTCCCAGGTATGTGGGAGGCTGAGGCAAGAAAATCGCTTCAGCCTGGGAGATTGAGGCTGCAGTGAGCTCTGATCACCACAATGCACTCCAGCCTGTGAGTCCGGAGACCCAACCTGGCGCCTTGAAGTGGGGGTCCCCCTGCACCGGTAGAAGTCGGCTCAAGGAGGTTCTGAGAACAGGACTCCCGGGGGTCCGGCCCTGGAGGACCAGAAGCCCCCACTCCCATAACGCCCTCTACTACATCCCCGCTCCAGCCGCCACTGCTACTGCCACAGAAACCCTGCCACGTGTTGCCGAACCTGTTTAAAGGGGCCACAGCCGGAGTTTGAAGAGGAAAGCAGGAGTCGGCCTGGGCAATGTGCATGCAGGAGGCATGAACCCATTCTCCTGTGACGGTGACTCCAACGGTTGGCTGAGGACGATTCCCTGAGCCTTGACAAAGCAGGGGCCCTCCGTGGCAGTGCGTTGGTGTCGAGGCTCCAGCCTGACCAATCCAGGGGGTCGACAAAACAGATTCGGGACACTATGCTACACGGAGGGGCTACCAGGATGCAGAAACAGCAGACAGTCCGGGGAAAGCAGTGTGGCATCCCAGCCTCAGGCCTGCCAGTACGGTGTTTGGGTGAGTCCCCCAAAGTCGTGCCCCTCGTGATCTCGAGGACAGGTCTGCCTGTGTGCCCAAGGACTACTCTGCCACCCGAGGGTCATTCTCCCAAAGAGCAGAAACCCGCAGTCTCAGTGATTGCCTGGGGTGTGTGTCCCTCTGCCACTGCTGTATGTCTGGTGCGTGTGTCTCCCATTCTCTCTTCTCTCTCTGTCACTCACTCTCTGTCTGTTTCTCTCACTTTCTCTCTCTCTGTGTGTGTGTGTGCGCCCGTGTGCGTGTGTGTTTATGTGCCCAGTGCACTACAAAGCGATCTCATGCATGTCAGAGTGTCTTTCGTGGGCTCCTGTCTGCGTCTCTGCCTGGATCATGTGGGCTGCTGTCAATCATTTCTGCGGCGGTTCCACTTTGGCTTTCTGAAGACCTCAACAATGTGAAAAGCGTCGGTCTCAGAGAAAATGAAATTTCATCCCGATACTGAGCTACCTCTTTTCTAGAATCAAGATGACCACACTCCAACCAAAAAAAAAAAAAAAAAAGCTACAAGGAGCTCATTGTTTTCCAGGAGGGGAGGGACCAATGTGAAAAGAGATGGTTCTTTCTCCTCATGGCTCTTCTCTGAGAAATGAAGCCACACTACGAAACAATCTTCAAGAAGCAGCTGAAAACGGGACACAACAAGGATGCCTGTCAGTGGAAAGCAAGCCTCTCAGGACAAGTCACCCGTTTGGCACTCCTCCGCTTATGCCCTTGGCGGTGGTTTCCAGTTGTTCCACGGTTTCCAAGGCTTCCAGGGCTGCTGGTTTCCAGGACTGGGGCTCGGTGCAGGGGAGGTGGAGTAAGGGCTACCTGGGCGGTGGAGGGTTGGAGGTAGGGTGAATTTTGCAGAAACCTCTTTGCTTCTCGGGCAGGCATTTCAAAATGGGGCTTTGGTCAGGCACAGGTCCCCTCCTGGTTCCCAGGTGTACTTTGATACTCTTTGGCATTGACGAGAAGGTCACTTGTTCCCCCTTCCACCAGGCACAAGCCACCATTTATTTCGCCGTCGCCCCATATGCCTCCAGTGACACACAATCACACCATCTGCTGTGGGATATGCCAGTACCACGTGTGGCCCCATGGTCTCCACCTCGGATTCACCCCTGTTCCTGTACACACGTGTCCTGTAAAGCGCTGTCGGCTTTCGGGAGGCCCAGAGCTTTTAGAAGCTGGGCAGTCCACTGCTCTTTCAAAGGAGGAGGGAGGCAGACGGCTGATGGATCAGTGAATTTTCAGCTGACAACACGCCCTGAGACACATGGGATCGATCTGTGCTGCAGGGAGGCCCTGCCTGCCTCACCAGATGTGGTGAGCCCATCCTATCTCACTCGGAGGGGGCCAAAATTGGATCTGAAGGGGAGTCCCCAGACCCCAGTAGGCGCCCTGAAGCTCCCCCTCCTTTGGTGGAAGTCGGCTCAAGGAGGTCATGAGGACAGGACTCCTGGGGGTTTGACCCTGGGACAGGACACCCACGGTCCCCTCTCCCACGCCGCCCCAAACTGGACCCCGGATCCAGCAGCCACCGCGGCTGCAGCAGGAGCCTCGCTGCCCCCGTGTAACCGCCGCCTAATTTAAAGCGGACACAGCCTGACTGCCAGGAGTGGAGCGCGAGTCGGCCCAGCCAACGCGCATGCGCAAGACACGAGCAGCTTCTCACGTCACAGTGCTACCCACCATTGTCTTAGAAACTAGTCCCCAAGGCTTGGCAAAGCAGGAGCCCTCCGTGGCAGTGATTGGGTGTCGGGCTCTGAGGCTCCGGCCTGACCTCTCCATAGGGTCAACGGGAACGTCTCCGGATGCCAGGAGTGGCAAAGGGCCGACCAGGATGAGGAAACCCCAGGCGGAGTCCGGGGGAAGCAGCACAGCATCCCAGCCTCAGGCCTGCCTGGACGGTGTTGGTTGGGGTGAGTCTCCCCAAAAGTCGTGCCTCTGTGATCTGCAGGCCAGGTCCACCTGCGTGCCCCTGGGCTGCTCTCTCACCCGGGGGTCGTTCTCGTGGAGAGCAGAACCCCGCAGCCTCAGGGGTTGCCTGGGGGTGTGTTTCAATGCCTCTGCTGTATGACTCTGGGTGTGTGTCTGTCTGTGTGTGTGTGTGTGTGTGTGTGTGTGTGTGTGTCTGGGTGTGTGTCTCCCATTCTCTCTTCTCTCTCTGTCTCTCAGTCTCTGTGTGTTTCTTTCCCTCTCTCTGTCGGTTTGTGCGTGTGTGTCTTTGGCTGAATGTGCCCTGTGCACCACAATGCGGTTTCTCACATGGCGGCCTGTCTTAGGTGAGCCTCTTTCTGCGTCTCTGCCTGGGTCAGGAGGCCAGTTGTCAATCGTTTCTGCCGCCGCGAATCTGCTTTGGGTGTGTGAAGGCCTGGCCCACGTGAGGAGATGCGTCGGTCCCAGAGCAATTGAAATCTCATCCCCATCCTGAGCGGCCTCTTTTCTAGGGTCAGAATGAACACACTGCAGCTGAGGACAAGAGCCCCACAGGAGCTCTTTGTCCCGCAGGAGAGCAGAGGACCCACGTCAGAGAAGATGCTCGTATCTTTTCACGGCTCTTCTCTGAGAAATGAAGCCACACCACGATACAGTCTGCAAGAGGAAGCCAGGAATGGGAGATGGCAACAATCCCTGTCACTGGAACGCTGGCCTCTCTGGACAAGCCACCCTTTTGGAACCCCTCCCCTTATGCCCGTGGCAGTGGCATGGTGGTCTATCCTGCCTGGTCCCCTGCCTCTGCTCTGTCCTCCTTCTTGCTGTGCCTCCCCTGTTTCTCAGGGGCCTGGATGCCTCTCGCTCTGGCCAAATGTCTTCAACAAAGATGGCTTCCCAGTGAGTCAGGGAGACACTTCCTGGAGATCCGTGTCATGATTGTTTCTCTCTCCAAACGTGTTTCTGTTTCATTGGGCAAGTCTCATGACCCTGGAGCTCTTGGCTTCCCTACATATCTCAGGCAGGGAAGCTTCCTACTTCACGTTTCCCCTCATGGGTAAGCGGATTGCCTAGAATGAGTTGTAGGCAATGATGACTGGCCTTGTCTTCCAGGACAGGTGGTGTCGCAGTTCCTCTGCACTTCCTGTCTCATTCTTGAGGGACATCCTCTCCTCTGTTCCTGGGTGGACTGACTTCCTTGATCTTCTGGCCGAAACGAATGTCAGGGAACCAAAGGGACTGGGCTGGGGCTGGGGCTGGGGCTGGAGCTGGCGCTGGGTGCAGCTGAAGTTACATCAGGGCTACCAGGGCAGTGGAGGGTTGGGAGTGGGGTGAATTTTGCAGAAAGCTCTTTGCCCGTCTGGTAGGCATTTGAAAAGGTGGCTTGGGTTGGGCACACCCCCCCCCCAACCCCCCGGGTCCCCGGTGTTCTTCCATTTTCCTTGGCATTGACGGAAAGGTCACTCCTTCCCCCCTTCCACCGGCACATGCCTGGACACCACCATCTGTTTCGCCGTCGCCCTGTATGCCTCCGGTGACACACATTCACACCATCTGCTGTGGGACATGCCAGTACCACGCATGGTCACGTGATCTCCACTTCGGATTCGCCCCTATTCCTGTTTGCACGTGTCCTGTGAAGTGCGGTCGGCTTTCCGGAGCCCCAGGGCTTTTAGAAGCGGGGCAGGCCACTGCTCTTTCAAAGGATGAGGGAAGCAGAGGGCTGATGGATCAGTGCACTTGCAGCTGACACTGGGCCTTGATTCCTATGGGATCGTTCTGTGCTGCAGGGAGGCCCTGCCTGTCTCACCACATGTGGTGAGCCCATCCTATCTCACTCGGAGGAGGCCAAAATCATATCTGACGGGGAGTCCTGAGAACACAGCAGGCATCCTGAAGCTCCCCCTCCCTCGGTGGAAGTCGGCTCAAGGAGGTCCTGAGGAGAGGACTCCTGGGTGTTTCGCCCTTTGACAGGACACCAGCGGCCCCTTTCCCACGCCGACCCAAACTGGACCCGGGATCCAGCTGCCGCCTCGGCTGCAGCAGGAGCCTCGCTGCCGCTGCGTGGCGGCGGCATTATTTAAAGGTGACTCAGCCTGACAGCCAGTAGCGGAGCGCCAGTCGGCCCAACCAATGCGCATGCGGGAGACGCGAGCGGCTTCTCGCGTCACAGTGGTTCCCAGGGTTGTCTTAGAAACCAGTCCCCGAGGCTTGGCAAAGCAGGAGCCCTCCACGGCAGTGCTTGGGTGTCGGGGCTCTGAGGCTCCGGCCTGACCTTTCCACGGGGTCTACGGGAACCTCTCCAGATGCCAGGAGTCGCAAAGGGCCGACCAGGATGAGGAAACCCCAGGCGGAGTCCGGGGGAAGCAGCACGGCATCCCAGCCCCAGGCCTGCACGGATGGTGTTGGTTGCGGTGAGTCTCCCCAAAAGTCGTGCTGCCGTGATCTGGAGGACAGGTCCGCCTGCGTGCCCCTGGGCTGCTCTCTCACCCGACGGTCGTTCTCATCGAGAGCAGAACCCTGCAGCTTCAGGGGTTGCCGGGGGGGGGGGGGTGTGTTTCAATGCCTCTGCTGTATGACTCCGGGTGTGTGTCTGTGTGTGTGTCTGTGTGTGTCTGGGTGTGTGTCTCCCATTCCCTCTTCTCTCTCTGTCTCTCAGTCTCTGTGTGTTTCTTTCCCTCTCTCTGCCAGTTTGTGTGTGTGTGCCCGTGTGCCAGTGTGTCTTTGGCCGAATGTGTCCTGTGCGTCACAAAGCGGATTCTCGCATGGCGGCCTGTCTTTGGTGAGCCTCTTTCTGTGTCTCTGCCTGGATCATGAGGCCGGTTATCAGTCGTTTTCGCTGCCGCGGATCCGCTTTGGGTGTGTGAAGGCCTGGCCTACGTGAGGAGATGCGTCGGTCCCAGAGCAATTGAAATCTCATCCCCATCCTGAGTGGCCTCTTTTCTAGGGTCAAGATGAACACACTGCAGCCGAGGACAAGAGGCCCAAGGAGCTCTTTGTCCGGGAGGAGAGCAGAGGACCCACGTCAGAGAGGATGCTTTTATCTTTTCACGACTCTTCTCTGAGTAATGAAGCCACACCACGATACAGTCTGCAAGAGGAAGCCAGGAATGGGAGATGACAACAACCCCTGTCACTGGAACGCTGGCCTCTCCGGACAAGCCACCCTTTTGGAACCCCTCCCCTTATGCCAGTGGCAGTGGGACGGTGCTGTATGCTGCCTGCGCCCCGGCTTCTGCTCTGTCCTCACTCTTGCTGTGCCTCCCCTGTTTCTCAGGGGCCTGGATGCCCCTCGTTCTGGCCAAATGTCATCAACAAAGATGACTACCCAGTGAGTCAGGGAGTCACTTCCTGGAGATCCGTGTCATGATTTTTTCTCTCTCCAAACGTGTTTCTGCTTGACTGGGGAGGTCTCATGACCCTGGAGCTCTTGGTTTCCCTACGTAACTAAGGCAGGGAAGCTTCCTTCTTCTCCACGTTTCCCCTCATGGGTGGGTGGATTGCCTAGAATGAGCCCTAGGCGACGGTGACTGGCCCTGTCTTCTAGAACAGGTGGTGTCACAGTTCCTCTGCACTTCCTGTCTCATTCTTGAGGGACATCCTCTCCTCTGCTCCTGGGTGGACTGACTCCCTTGATCTTCTGGTGGAAACGAATGTTATGGAACCAAAGGGACTGGGCTGCAGATTCTACAAAATCCAGTTGCAGATTCTACAAAAAGACTGTTTCAAAACAGCTCTGTCAAAAGGAAGTTCAACTCTGTGAGTTGAATGCACATATCAAAAAGAAGTTTCTGAGAATGCTTCTTTATGGTTTTTATGTGAAGATATTTCCTTTTCCACCATAGGCCTCAAAGCGCATTAAATGAACACTTGCAGCTTCTACAAAAAGAGTGTTTCAAAAATGCTCTATCAAAAGAAAGGTTACACTCTGTGAGTTGAATGCACACATCAAAAAGAAGTTCATGTGGATGCTTCTGTCTAGTTTTTATGTGAAGATATTTCTTTTTCCAACATAGGCCTCAAATCGCTCCACATATCCACTGGCAGATTCTACAAAAAGACTGTTTCAAAACTCATCTCTGAAAAGGACGTTTCAAATCTGTGAGTTGAATGCACAAATCACAAAACGTTTCTGAGAATGCTTCTGTCTAGTTTTTATGTGAAGATATTTCCTTTTCCACCATAGGCGTCAAAGCGTCCAAATGAACACTTGCATATTCTACAAAAAGATTGTTTCAAAACTGCTCTCTAAAAAGAAAGGTTCAAATCTGTGTGGTGAATGCACACATCACAAAGAAGTTTCTGAGAATGCTACTGTCTAGTTTTTAATGTGAAGATATTTTCTTTTCCACCATAGGCCTCAAAGCGCTCCAATGAACCCTTGCAGATTCTACAAAAAGATTGTTTCAAAACTGCTCTATCAAAAGAAAGGTTCAAATCTGTGAGTTGAATGCACACATCACAAAGAATTTTCTGAGAATGCTACTGTCTAGTTTTTATGTGAAGATATTCCCGTTTCCAACAAAGGCCTCAAATATCTCCAAATATCCACAAGCAGATTCTACAAAAGGAGAGTTTCAAAACTGCTCTATCAAAAGAAATGTTCAACTCTGTGAGTTGAATGCACACATCACAAAAAAGTTTTTGAGTAAGTTTCTGCCTAGTTTTCATGTGAAGATATTCCCTTTTCCACCACAGGCCTCACATCGCTGCAAATATTCACTGGCAGAATCTCCAAATCATTGTTTCAAAACTGCTCTGCCAAAAGGGAGGTACAACTCTGTGATTTGAATGCACACATGGCAAAGGAGTTTCTGAGAAAGCGTCTGTCTAGTTTTTATGAGAAGATATTCCCTTTTCCAACATAGGCCTTAAATCGCTCCAAATGAACACTTGCAGATTCTACAAAAAAACTTTCAAATCTGCTCTATCAAAAGAACATTTCAACTCTGTGAGTTGAATGCGCACATCACAAAGCAGTTTCTGAGAATGCTTCTGTCTAGTTTTTATCAGAATATATTCTTGTTACCAATGAAGGCCGCAAAGGGCTCCAAATGAACACTTTCAGATTCTACAAAAAGTGTGTTTCAAAACTGCTCTATCAGAAGAAAGCTGCAAATCTGTTCGTTGAATGCACATATCACAAAGAAGTTCCTGAGAATGCGTCTGTCTGGTTTTTATGTGAAGATATTGTTTCCTTTTCCAACATAGGCCTCAAATCGCTCCAAATATGCCTTGGCAGATTCTACAAAAACACTGTTCCAAAACTACTCTCACAAAAGGAAGTTTCAAATCTGTGAGTTGAAGTCACACATCACAAAGAAGTTTCTGAGAATTCTTTTGTCTAGTATTTATGTGAAGATATTTCCCTTTCCACCACAGGCCTCAAAGCGCTCCAAATGAACACTTGCAGATTCTGTAAAAAGATTGTCTCAAAACTGCTCTATCAAAAGAAACGTTCAACTCTGTGAGTTGAATGCACACATCACAAAGAACATTCTGAAAATGCTTCTGTCTAGTTTTTATGTGAAGATATTTCCTTTTCCACCATTCCGTTCAAAGTGCTCCAAATGAATACTTGCAGATTCTACAAAAGTGTTTCAAAACTGCTCTATGAAAAGCAAGGTTTAACTCTGTTCGTTGAATGCACACATCACAAAGAAGTTCCTGAGGATGCTTCTGTCTAGTTTTTATGTGAAGATATGTCCGATTCCTCAAATCGCTCCAAATATTCACTGGCAGATTTTACAAAAAGACTGTTTCAAAACTGCTCTCTCAAAAGGAAGGTTCAACTGTGTGAGTTGAATGCACACATCACAAAGAACTTTCTGGGAATTCTTCTGTCTAGTGTTATGTGAAGATATTTCCTTTTCCACTATAGGAATCAAAGCGTTCCAAATGTACACTTGCAGATTATAGAGAAAGAATATTTCAAAACTGCTCTGTGCAAAGAAAGGTTCAACTCTGTGAGTTGAATGCACACATCACAAATAACTTTCTGATAATGCTTCTGTCTAGTTTTTTCCTGAAAATAGCCCATTTCCAACGAATTCCTCAAAGAGTTCCAAATATCCAAAAGCTGATTCTACAAAAGCAGTGTTTCAAAACTGCTCTTACAAAAGAAAGGTTCAACTCTGTGAATTGAACACACACATCACAAAGGAGTTTCTGAGAATGCTTCTGTCTATTTTTCATGTGAAGATATTTCCTTTTCCACCACAGGCCACAAAGCTCTCCAGATGAACACTTGCAGATGCTACAAAAACATTGTTTCAAAACTGCTCCATCAAAAGGAAGTTCAACTCTGTGAGTTGAATGCGCACATCACAAAGAACTTTCTGAGAATGTTTCTGTCTAGTTTTTATGTGAAGATACTCCCGGTTCAAAAGAAGGCCTCCAATATCTACAAATATCCGAAGGCAGATTCTACAAAAGGAGAGTTTCAAAACTGTGCTATCAAACGAAAGGTTCAACTCTGTTATTTGAATGCACACATCACAAAGAAGAATCTGAGAATGCTACTGTCTAGTTTTCACGTGAAGATATTCCCTTTGCCAACATAGGCGTCAAATCGCTCCAAATATCCACTTGCAGATTCTACAAAAAAAACTCTTTCAAAACTGCTCTGTCAAAAGAAAGGTTCCATTCTGTGAGTTGAATGCAAACATCACAAAGAAGTTTCTGAGAATGCTTCTGTCCAGTTTTTATGAGAAGATATTCCATTTCCAATGAAGGCCTCAAAGCGATCCAAATGAACACTTGCACATTCTACAAAAAGATTCTTTCAAATCTGCTCTATTGAACTCTGTTAGTTGAATGCACACATTACAAAGAAGTTTGTGAGAATGCTTCTGTCTAGTTTTATGTGAAGATATCCCATTTCCAACGAATTCCTCAGAGAGTTCCTAATATCCACAAGCGGATTCTACAAAAGAGGGTTTCAAAACTGCTCTATCAAAAGGAAGGTTCAACTCTGTGAGTTGAATGCACACATCACAAAGAAGATTCTGAGAATGCTTCTGTCTAGTTTTCATGTGAAGTTATTCCCTTTTCCACAATAGGCCTCAAATCGCTCCAAATATCCACCTGCCGATTTTATGAAAAGACTGTTTGAAAAGTGCTCACTCAAAAGGAAGTTTCAACTCTGCTGGTTGAATGCACCCATCACAAACAAATTTCTAAGAATGCTTCTGTCTAATTTTCCTCTCTAGATATTCCCTTTTCCACCATAGGCCTCAAAACCCTCCAAAGATCCACTTGCAGATTCTACAAAAACACTGTTTCAAAACTGATCTGTCAAAAGGAAGGTTCAACTCTGTGAGTGGAATGCCACATGGCAAAGAAGTTTCTGAGAATGCTTCTGTCTTGTATTTATGTGAAGATATTTCCTTTTCCACCATAGGCTTCCAAGCACTCCAAATGAACACTTGCAGATTCTACAAAAAGAGTGTTTCAAAATTGCAATATCAAAAGAAAGGTTCAAATCTGTTAGTTGAATACACACATCACAAAGGAGTTCCTGAGAATGCTTCGGTCTAGTTTTTACGTGAAGATATTCCCATTTCCATCATAGGCCTCAAATCGCTCCAAATATCCACTTTCAGATACTACAAAAAGACTGTTTCAAAACTGCTCTCTGCAAAGGAAGTTTCAAATCTGTGGGTTGAATGCACACATCACAAAGAAGTTTCTGAGAATGATTCTGTCCAGTATTTATGTGCAGATATTTCCTTTTCCACCACAGGCCTCAAAGTGCTCAAAATGAACACTTTCAGATTCTAAAAAAGGACTGTTTCAAAATAGCTCTATCAAAAGAAATCTTGCACTCTGTGAGTTGAATGCACACATCACTAAGAATTTTCTGAGAATGCTTCTGCCTAGCTTTTATGTGAAGGCATCCCGTTTCCAATGAATTCCTCAAAGAGCTCCAAATATCCACAAGGAGATTCTACAATAGGATTGTTTCAAAACTCTTCCATCAACAGAAAGGTTCAACTCTGTGAGTTGAATGCACACATCAAAAAAGTTTCTGAGAATGCTTCTGTCTAGTTTTCATGTGAAGACATTCCCTTTTCCGCCATAGGCCTCAAATTGCTCCAAATATTCACTGGAAGACTCTACAAATACTGTGTTTCAGAACTGCTCTTCAAAAGGAAGGTTCAATTCTGTGAGTTGAATGCACACATCACAAAGAAATTTCTGAGAATGCTTCTGTCTAGTATATATGTGAAGATATTTCCTTTTCCACCACAGGCCTCAAAGCGCTCCAAATAAACACTTGCAGATTCTACAATAAGTGTGTTTCAAAACTGTGCTATCAAAACAAAGGTTCAACTCTCTGAGTTGAATGCACACATCACAAAGAAGTTCCTGAGAATGCTTCAGTCTAGTTTTTATGTGAAGATATTTGCTTTTCCACCATAGTCCTCAAATCACTCCAAATATCCACTTGCAGATTCTACAAAAAGACTGTTTCAAAACTGCCCACACAAAAGGAAGGTTCAATTGTGTGAGTTGAATGCAAACATCACAAAGAACTTTCTGAGAATGCTTCTGTCTAGTTTTTATGTGAAGATATTTCCTTTTCTACCATAGGCCTCAAAGTTCTCCAAATGAACACTTGCAGATTTTAGGGAAAGAGTGTTTCAAAACTGCTCTATCAAAAGAAAGGCTCAACTCTCTGAGTTGAATGCACACATCACAAAGAAGTTTCTGAGAATGCTTCTGTCTAGTTTGTATGTGAAGATATGCCGTTTACAACAAATTCCTCAAATAGCTCCAAATATCAACAAGCAGATTCTACAAAAGCAGTGTTTCAAAACTGCTCTATCAAAAGAAAGGTTCAACTCTGTGAGTTGAATGCACACATCACAAAGAACTTTCTGAGAATGCTTCTGTCTAGTTTTCATGTGAAAATACCCGTTTCCAACGAATTCCCAGAGTTCCAAATATCCACAAGCAGATACTACAAAAAGAGTGTTTCAATACTGCTCTATCAAAAGACAGATTAAAATCTGTTAGTTGAATGCACACATCTCAAAGAAGTTCCTGAGAATGCTTCTGTCTAGTTTTTATGTGAAGATATTTCCTTTTCCACCAAAGGCTTCAAAGCACTCCAAATGAACACTTGTAGATTCTACAAAAAGTGTATTTAAAAACTGCTCTATCAAAAGAAAGGTTCAACTCCGTGAGTTGTACGTACACATCACAAAATGTTTCTGAGAATTCTAATGTCTAGTTTTTATGTGAAGATATTTCCTTTTCAATCATAGGCCTCAAATCGCTCCAAACATCCACTTGCAGATACTACAAAAAGGTTTTTTCAAAACTGCTCTCTCAGATGGAAGGTTCAACTCTGTGAGTTCAATGCACACATCACAGATAACTTTCTGAGAATGCTTCTGTCTAGTTTTTATGTGAAGATATCCCGTTGACAACGAATTCCTCAAAGACCTGCACATATCCACAAGCAGGTACTACAAGAAGTGTGTTTCAAAACTGCTCTATCAAAAGAAAGGTTCAACTCTGTGAGTTGAATGCACACATCATGTGGCTTTTCTGTGAAGACAGCCCGTTTCCAAAGAATTCCTCAAGGAGTTCTAAATATCCACAAGCAGATTCTACGAAAGGAGTGTTTCAGAACTGCTCTATCATAAGAAAGGTAGAACTCTGTGAATTGAATGCACACACCACAAAAAGGTTCTGAGAATGCTTCTGTCTAGTTTTTAAGTGAAGATATTTCCTTTTCCACCATAGGCCTCAAAACACTCCAAATGAACACTTGCAGATTTTACAAAAAGTGTGTTTCTAAACTGCTCTATCAAAAGAAACGTTCAGCTCTTGAGTTCAATGCACATATCCCAAAAAAGTTTCTGGGAATTCTTCTGTCCAGTTTTTATGTGAAGATACTATCTTTTCTACCATAGGCTTCAAAGCGCTCCAAATGAAAACTTGCAGAGTCTACAAAAAGTGTCTTTCAAAACTGCTCTATCAAAAGAAAGGTTCAACTCTGTGAGTTCAATGCACACATCACAAACTACTTTCGGAGAATGCTTCTGTCCAGTTTTTATGTGAAGATATTTGCTTTTCCATCAGAGGCCTCAACTCGCTCCAAACACCCACTTGCAGATACTACAAAAAGACTGTTTCAAAACTCCTCTCTTAAAAGGAAGGTTCAACTCTGTAAGTTCAAAGCACACATCACAAAGCAGTTTCTGAGAAGGCTTCTGTCTGGTTTCTATGTGAAGATATCCAGTTTACAACTAATTCCTCAAAGAGCTCCAAATATCCACAAGCAGATTCTTCAAAAATTGTGTTTCAAAACTTCTCTATAAAAGGAAAAGTTTAACTCTGTGAGTTGAATACACACATCACAGAGAACTTTCTGAGAATGCTTCTGTCTAGGTTTTATGTGAAGATACACGTTTCCAACGAATTCCCAAGAGTTCCAAATAGCCACAGGCAGATTCCACAAAAGGAAGTGTTTCAATACTGCTCTATCAAAAGACAGATTCAACTCTGTTAGTTGAATGCACACGTCTCAAAGAAATTCCTGAGAATTTCTCTGTCAAGTTTTTATGTGAATATATTTCCTTTTCAACCTTAGGCTTCAAAGCGCTCCAAATGAACATTTGAAGATTCTACAAAAAGACTGTTTCAAAACTGCTCTATCAAAAGAAGGGTTCCACACTGTGAGGTGAATGCGCACATCACATAGCAGTTTCTGAGAATGCTTCTGTGTAGTTTTTATGTGAAGATATTTCCTTTTCCATCATAGTCCTCAAATCGCTCCAAATATACACTTGCAGATACTACAAAAACACAGTTTCAAAACTGCTCTCTCAAAAGGAAGGTCCAACTCTGTGAGTGTTATGCACACATCATAAAGCAGTTTTTGAGAATTCTTCTATCTAGTTTGTTTGTGAAGATATCCCGTTTACAACGAATTCCTCAAAGAGCTCCAAATATCCACCAGCAGATTGTACAAAAGCAGTGTTTCAAAACTGCTCTATCAAAAGAAAGGTTCAACTCTGTGAATTGAATGCACACATCACAAAAAAGTTTGTGAGAATGCTTCTGTGAAGTTTTTATGTGAAGATATTTCCTTTTCCACCATAGGCCTCAAATCTCTCCAAATGAACACTTGCAGATTTACAAAAGGAGTGTTTCAAAACTGCTCTGTCAAAAGAAAGGTTCAACTCTGTTAGCTGAATGCACGCATCACAAAGAAGTTCCTGAGAATGCTCCTGTCTAGTTTTTATGTGAAGATACATCCTTTTTTAACATAGCCCTCAAATCGCTCCAAATATCCACCGGCAGATTCTAGAAAAAGACTGTTTCAAAACTGCTCTATCAAAAGAAAGGCTCAACTCTGTGAGTTGAATGCACACATCACAAACCAGTTTCTGAGAATGCTTCTTTCCAGTTTTTATGTGAAGATATTTCGTTTTCCACCATAGGCCTCAAATCGCTCCAAATATCCACTTGCAGGTACCACAAAAAGACTGTTTCAAAACTTCTCTCTCAAAAGGACGGATCAACTCTTTGAGTTGAATGCACACATCACAAAGCAGTTTCTAAGAGTGCTTCTGTCTAGTTTGTATGTGAAGATAGCCCGTTTATAACGAATTCCTCGAAGAGCTCTAAATATCCACAAGCAGATACTACCAAAGGAGTGTTTCAAAACTGCTCCATGAAAAGAAAGGTTCAACTCTGTGAATTGAATGCCCACATCACAAAAAAGTTTCTGAGAACACTTCTGTCTAGTTTTTATGTGAAGATATTACCTTTACTACCATAGGCTTCAAAGAGCTCCAAATGAACACTTGCAGATTCTACAAAAAGACTGTTTGAAAACTGCTCTATCAAAGGAAGGGTGAAACTGTGTGAGTTGAATGCACACATCACAAAGCAGTTTCTGAGAAGGCATCTGTCTACTTTTTATGTGTAGATATTTCCTTTTCCATCATAGGCCTCAAATAGCTCCAAATATCCACATGCAGATACTACAAAAACACTGTTTCAAAACTGCTCTCTCAAAAGGAAGGCTCAACTCTGTGAGTTGAATGCACACATCACAAAGAACTTTTCGAGAATGCTTCTGCTTACTTTTTTTGTGAAGACAGCCCGTTGCCAATGAATTCCTCAAACAGTTTCATATATCCACAAGCAGATTCTACAAAAGGAGTGTTTCAAAACAGCTCTATCAAAAGAAAGGTTCAACTCTGTGAATTGAACACACCCATCACAAAGATGTTTCAGAGAATGTTTCTGTCTAGTTTTTATGTGAAGATATTTCCTTTTCCACCGTAGTCCTCAAAGCGCTTCAAATGAACACTTGCAGATTCTACAAAAAGTGTGTTTCAAAACTGCTCTATCAAAAGAAAGGTTCAACTCTGTGAGGTGAATGCACACATCACAAATGAGTTTCTGAGAATGCTTATGTCCAGTTTTTTTATGAAGATATTTCCTTTTCCAACATAGGCCTCAAATCTCTCCAAATATCCACTTGCAGATACTACAAAAACACTGTTTAAAAACTGCTGTCTCAAATAGCAAGGTTCAACTCTGTGAGTTGAATGCACACATCACAAAGCAGTTTCTGAGAATGCTTCTGTCTAGTTTTTAAGTGAAGATAGTTCATTTTCCATCATAGGCCTCAAATCTCTCCAAATATCCACTTGTAGATACTACAAAAACACTGTTTAAAAACTGCTGTCTCAAATAGCAAGGTTCAACTCTGTGAGTTGAATGCACACATCACAAAGCAGTTTCTGAGAATGCTTCTGTCTAGTTTTTATGTGAAGATAATTCGTTTTCCATCATAGGCCTCAAATCGCTCCAAATATGCATTTGCAAGTACCACAAAAAGACTGTTTCAAAACTGCTCTCTCAAAAATAAGGTTCAACTCTGTGAGTTGAATGCACACATCACAAAGCAGTTTCTGAGAATGCTTCCATTTTGTATGTGAAGATATCCCCTTTACAGTGAATTCCTCAAAGTGCTCCAAATATACAGAAGCAGATTCTACAAAAGGAGTATTTCAAAACTGCACTATCAAAAGAAAGGTTCAAATCTGTGAGTTGAATGCACACATCACAAAGAAGTTTCTGAGATTGCTTCTGTCTAGTTTTCCTGTGAAGGTAATACCTTTTCCACCATAGGCTTCAAAGCGCTCCAAATGAACACTTGGGGATTCTACAAAAAGACTGCTTCAAACCTGCTCTATCAAAAGAAGTTTTTCCCTCTGTGTGGTCAATGCACACATCACAAAGCAGTTTCTGAGAATACTTCTGTCTAGTATGTATGTGAAGATATCCCGTTAACAACGAATTCCTTCAAGAGCTCCAAATATCCACAAGCAGATTCTACAAAAGCAGTGTTTCAAAACTGCTCTATCAAAAGAAAGGTTCAACTCTGAGAATTGAATGGACACATCACAAAGAAGTTTCTGGGAATGCTTCTGTCTAGTTTTCATATGAGGATATTTCCTTTTCCACCATAGGCCCCAAAGCACACAAAATGAACACTTGAAAATTATACAGAAAGAGAGTTTCAAATCTGCTCTATCAGAAGAAAGGTTCAACTCTGTGAGATGAATGCACACTTCACAAAGAACTTCCTGAGAATACATCTGTCTAGTTTTTTTGTGACGATAGCCCATATCCAAAGAATTCCTCAAAGAGTTCCAAATATCCGCAAGCAGATTCTACAAAACGACTGTTTCAGAAATGCTCTATCAAAAGAAAGGTCCAACTCTGTGAATTGAACAAACACATCAGAAAGGAGTTTCTGACAATGCTTCTGTCTGGATTCTATGTGAAGATATTTCCTTTTGCACCACAGGCTTCAAAGGACTCCAAATAAACACTTCCAGATTCTACAAAAAGACTGTTCCAAAACTGCTCTATTAAAGGAAGGGTTCCACTCTGTGTGGTGAATGCACACAACGCAAAGCAGTTTCTGAGAATGCTTCTGTCTAGTTTTTATAGGAAGATATTTCCTTTTCCAACATTGGCCTCAAATCGCTCCAAATATCCACTTGCAGGTACTACAAAAAGACTGTTTCAAAACTGCTCTCTCAAAGGGAAGGTTCAACTCATTGAGTTCAATGCACACATCACAAAGCAGTTTCTGAGAATGCTTCTGTCCTGTTTTTATGTGAAGATATTACCTTTTCCACCATAGGCATCTAAGCGGTCCAAATGATCACTTGCAGATTCTACAAAAAGACTGTTTAAAAACTGCTCTGTCAAAGGAAGGGTTCAGTTCTGTGAGTTGAATCCACACATGACAAAGCAGTTTCTGAGAATGCTTCTGTCTATTTTTTATATGAAGATATTTCCTTTTCCAACATGGCCCTCAAATCGCTCCAAATATCCACTTGCAGCTACCACAAAAAGACTGTTTCAAAACTGCTCTCTCAAAAGGAAGGTTCCACTCTGTGAGTTGAATGCACACATCACAAAGCAGTTTCTGAGAATGCTTCCCATTTTGTATGTGAAGATATCCCGTTTGCAACGAATTCCTCAAAGAGCTCCAAATATCCACAAGCATATTCTGCAAAAGGAGCCTTTCAAAACTGCTCTATCAAAAGAAAGGTTCAACTCTGTGAGTTGAATGCAGTCATCACAAAAAAGTTTCTGAGAATGCTTCTGTCAAGTTTTTATGTGAAGATAATACCTTTTCCACCATAGGCTTCAAAGCGCTCCAAATGAACACTTGCAGATTCTACAAAATGACTCTTTCAAAACTGCTCTGTCAAAGGAAGGGTGCAACTCAGTGAGTTGAATGCACACATCACAAAGCAGTTTCTTATAATCCTTCTGTCTAGTTTTTATATGAAGATATTTCCTTTTCCATCATAGGCCTCAAATCGCTACAAATATCAACGTGCAGATACTACGAAAACACTGTTTCAAAACTGCTCTCTCAAAAGGAAAGTCCAACTCTTTGAGTTGAATGCACACATCACAGAGCAGTTTCTGAGAATGCTGCTATTTTCTATGTCAAGATATCCCGTTTACAATGAATTACTCAAGGAGTTCCAAATATGCACAATCAGATTCTACAAAAGGAGTGTTTGAAATCTGCACTATCAAAAGAAAGGTTCAACTCTGTCAGTTGAATGCACACGTCACATAAATGTTTCTGAGAATGCTTCTGTCTAGTTTTTATGTGAAGATATTTCCTTTTCCACTATAAGACTCTAAGTGCTCAAAATGAACACTTGCAGATCATACAGAAAGAATGTTCCACAAAGCCTCTATCAAAAGAAAGGTTCAACTCTGTGAGCTGAATGCACACATCAGGAAGAACTTTTTGAGAATACTTCTGTCTACTTTTATTGTGAAGATAGCCCGTTTCCAACGAACTCCTCAAAGAGTTTCATATATCCACAAGCAGATTCTACAAAAGGAGTGTTTCAAAACTGCTCTATCAAAAGAAAGGTTCAACTCTAAATTGAACACACACATCACAAAGGTGTTTCAGAGAATGCTTCTATCTAGTTTTTATATGAAGATATTTCCTTTTCCACTATAGGCCTCAAAGCACTTCAAATGAACACTTGCAGATTCTACAAAATGTGTGTTTCAAAACTGCTCTATCAAGAGAAAGGTTCAAATCTGTGAGGTGAATTCACACATCACAAGCAGTTTCTGAGAATACTTCTGTCTAGTTTTATGTGAAGCTATTCCTTTTCCATCATAAGTCTCAAATCACTCCAAATATCCCCTTGCAGATACTACAAAAAGACAGTTTCAAAAATGTTCTCTGAAAAGGAAGGTTCAACGCTGTGAGTTGAATGCCCACATCACAAAGCAGTTTCTGAGAATGCTTCTGTCTCGTTTGTATGTGAAGATATCCCGTTTAAAAGAATTCCTTCAAGAGATCCAAATATCCACAAGCATATTCCACAAAACCAGTTTTTCAAAACTGCTCTATCAAAAGAAAAGTTTAACTCTGTGAATTTAATGAACACATCACAAAAAAGTTTCTGGAAATGCTTCTGTCTAGTTTCCATGTAAAGATACTTCCTTTTCCACCATAGGCCCCAAAGCTCTCAAAGTAAACAAACACTTGCAGATTATACAGAAAGAAAGTTTCAAATCTGTTCTATCAAAAGAAAGGTTCAAGTCAGTGAGATGAATGCAGACATCACAAAGAACTTTCTGAGAATACTTTTGTCTAGTTTTTTTGTGAAGACAACCGTTTCCAACGAATTCCTCAAAGAGTTCCAAATATCCAAAAGCAGATTCTACAAAAGGAGTGTTTCAAATCTGCTCTATCAAAAGAAAGGTTCAACTCTGTGAATTGAACACACACATCACAAAGGAGTTTCTGAGAATGCATCTGTCTAGTTTTTATATAAAGGTATTTCCTTTTCCATCATAGGCCTCAAATTGCTCCAAATATCCAGTTGCAGATACTACGAATAGACTGTTTCAAAACTGCTCTGTCAAAAGGAAGGTTCAACTCTGTGAGTTGAATGCACACATCAGAAAGCAGTTTCTGAGAATGCTTCCCATTTTGTATGTGAAGATATCCTGTTTGCAACGAATTCCTCGAAGAGCTTCAAATATCCACAAGCATATTCTGCAAAAGGAGTCTTTCAATACTGCTCTATCAAAAGAAAGGTTCAACTCTCTGAGTTGAATGCACTCATCAAAAAAAAGTTTCTGAGAATGCTTCTGTCAAGTTTTTATGTGAAGATAATACCTTTTCCACCATAGGCTTCAAAGTGCTCCAAATGAACACTTGCAGATACTACAAAAAGCCTCCTTCAAAACTGCTCTATCAAAGGAAGGGTTCAACTCAGTGAGTTGAATGCACACATCACAAAGCAGTGTCTGAGAATCCTTCTGTCTAGTTTTTATGTGAAGATATTTCCTTTTCCACCACAGGACTCTAAGTGCTCAAAATGAACACTTACAGATTTTAGAGAAAGAACGTTCCACATCTACTCCATCAAAAGAAAGGGCCAACTCCGTTAGTTGAATGCACATATCACAAAGAACTTTTCGAGAATGCTTCTGCTTACATTTTTGTGAAGATAGCCCGTTGCCAACGAATCCCTCAAACAGTTTCATATATCCACAAGCAGATTCTACAAAAGGAGTGTTTCAAAACAGCTCTATCAAAAGAAAGGTTCAACTCTGTGAATTGAACACACCCATCACAAAGATGTTTCAGAGAATGCTTCTGTCTAGTTTTTATGTGAAGATATTTCCTTTTCCACCGTAGTCCTCAAAGCGTTTCAAATGAACACTTGCAGATTCTACAAAAAGTGTGTTTCAAAACTGCTCTATCAAAAGAAAGGTTCAACTCTCTGAGTTGAATGCATACATCACAAAAAACTTTCTGAGAATGCTTCAGTCTAGGTTTTATGTGAAGATTCCCGTTTCCAACGAATTACACCGTAAGTTCCAAATATCCAAAACCAGACTCTACAAAAGGAGTTTTTCAATATTGCTCTATCAAAAGACAGGTTCACCTCTGTTAATTCAATGCACACATCTCAAAGAAGTTCCTGAGATGCTTCTGTCTAGTTTTTATGTGAAGATATTTTCTTTTCCACCATAGGCTTCAAAGCACTCCAAATGAACGCTTGCAGATCCTACAAAAAGACTGTTTCAAAACTGCTCTATCAAAAGAAGGGTTTCACTCACTGAGGTGAATGCACACACACCACAAATCAGTTTCTGAGAATGCTTCTGTCTAGTTTTTATAGGAAGATATGTCCTTTTCCAACATTGGCCTCAAATCGCTCCAAATATCCACTTGCAGGTACTACAAAAAGAATGTTTCAAAACAGCTCTATCAAAAGAAAGGTTCAACTCTGTGAGGTGAATGCGCACATCACGAAGAACTTTTTGAGAATACTTCTGTCTACTATTTTTGTGAAGAGAGACCGTTTCCAACGAATTCCTCAAAGAGGTACATATATCCATTAGCAGATTCTACAAAAGGAGTGTTTCAAAACTACTCTATCGATAGAAAGGTTCAACTCTGTGAATTGAACACTCACATCACAAAGGTGTTTCAGAGAATGCTTCTGTCTAGTTTTTATGTGAAGATATTTCCTTTTCCACCGTAGGCCTCAAAGCCCTTCAAAAGAACACTTGCAGATTCTACAAAATGTGTGTTTCAAAACTGCTCTATCAAGAGAAAGGTTCAACTCTGTGAGTTAAATGCACACATCACAAAAAACTTTCTAAGAATGCTTCAGTATAGGTTTTATGTGAAGATACACGTTTCCAAATAATTACACCATAAGTTCCAAATATCCAAAACCGGATCCTACAAAAGGAGTTTTTCTATACTGCTCTATGAAAAGAAAGGTTCAGCTTTGCTAATTCAATGCATACATCACAAAGCTGTTCCTGAGAATGCCTCTGTCTAGTTTTTAGGTGAAGATATTTCCTTTTCCACCATATGCTTCAAAGCGCTCCAAATGAACACTTGTAGATTCTACAAAAAGACTGTTTCAAATCTGCTGTATTAAAGCAAGGGTTCCACTCTGTGAGTTGAATGCACACATCACAAAGCAGTTTCTGAGAATGCTTCTGTCTAGTTTTTATGTGAAGACATTTCCTGTTCCACCATAAACCTCAAATCGCTCCAAATATACACATGCAGGTACCACAAAAAGACTGTTTCAAAACTGCTCTCCCAAAACGAAAGTTCAACTCTGTGAGTTGAATGCACACATCACAAAGCAGTTTCTGAGAAAGCTTCTGTATAGTTTGTATGTGAAGATATCCCGTTTCCAACAAAATCCTCCAGGAGTTCAAATATTCACAAGCAGATTCTACAAAAAAAGTTTTTCAACACTACTCTATCTACAGACAGGTTCAACTCCGTGAGTTGAATGCACACATCTCACAGAAGTTCCTGAGAATGCTTCGGTCTAGTTTGTACGTTAAGATATTTCCTTTTCCAACATAGGCTTCAAAGCGCTCCAAGTAAACACTTGCGGATTCTAGGAAAAGACTGCTCCAATACTGCTCTGTCAAAAGAAGAGTTCCACTCTGTGAGGTGAATGCACATATCACAAAGCAGTTTCTGAGATTGCTTCTGTCTAGTTTTTATATGAAGATATTTCCTTTTCCATCATAGGCCTCAAAACGCTCCAAATATCCACTTGCAGATACTACAAAAAGACTGTTTCAAAACTGCTCTGTCAAAGGAAGGGTTCAATTCTGTGAGTTGAATCCACACATGACAAAGCAGTTGCTGAGAATGCTTCTGTCTATTTTTTATGGAAGATATTTCCTTTTCCACCATAGACCTCAAATCGCTCCAAATATCCACTTGCAGCTACCACAAAAAGACTGTTTCAAAACTGCTCTCTCAAAAGGAAGGTTCAACTCTGTGAGTTGAATGCACACATCACAAAGCAGTTTCTGAGAATGCTTCCCATTTTGTATGTGAAGATATCCCGTTTGCAACGAATTCCTCAAAGAGCTCCAAATATCCACAAGCATATTCTGCAAAAGGAGTCTTTCAAAACTTCTCTATCAAAAGAAAGGGTCAAGTCTGTGAGTTGAATACACTCATCACAAAAAAGTTTCTGAGAATGCTTCTGTCAAGTTTTTATGTGAAGATTATACCTTTTCCACCATAGGCTTCAAAGGGCTCCAAATGAACACTTGCAGATTCTACAAGAAGACTCTTTCTAAACTGCTCTATCAAAGGAAGGGTTCAGCTCAGTGAGTTGAATGCACACATCACAAAGCAGTTTCTGAGAATCCTTCTGTCTACTTTTCATATGAAGATATTTCCTTTTCCATCATAGGCCTCAAGTCGCTCCAAATATCAAAGTGCAGATACTCCAAAAAGACTGTTTCAAAACTGCTCTCTCAAAAATAAGGTTCAACTCTGTGAGTTGAATGAACACATCACAAAGCAGTTTCTGAGAATGCTACTATTTTCTATGTCAAGATATCCCATTTACAACGAATTCCTCAAAGAGCTCCAAATATCCACAAGCAGATTCTACAAAAGGAGTGTTTGAAAACTGTTCTTTCAAGAGAAAGGTTCAACTGTATGAGTTGAATGCAAACATCACAAAAAACTTTCTGAGAATGCTTCAGTCTAGGTTTTAAGTGAAGATATCCGTTTCCAACCAATTACACCATATGTTCCAAATTTCCAAAACCAGATTCTACAAAAGGAGTGTTTCAATACTGCTCTATCAAAAGACAGGTTCAACTCTGTTAATTGAATGCACACATCTCAAAGAAGTTCCTGAGAATGCTTCTGTCTAGTTTTTATGTGAAGATATTTCCTTTTCCAACATACGCTTTAAAGAGCTCCAAATGAACACATGTAGAATCAAAAAAACATTGTTTCAAAACTGCTCTACAAAAGAAGGGTTCCAGTCTGTGAGGTGAATGCAGACATCATAAAGATGTTTCTGAGAATGCTTGTGTCTAGTTTTTATGTGATGATATTTTCTTTTCCATCATAGGCCTCAAACCGCTCCAAATATACACTTGCAGAAACTACCAAAAGACTGTTTCAAAACTGCCCTCTCAAAAGGAAGGTTCAACTCTGTGAGTTGAATGCACACATCACAATGCAGTTTCTGAGAATGCTTCTGTCTAGTTTGTATGTGAAGTTATCCCCTTTACAAAGAATTCCTCAAAGAACTCCAAATATCCAATAGCAGATTCTACAAAGGTGTATTTCAAATCTGCTCTACCAAAAGAAAGGTTCAACTCTGTGATTTGAATGCACACATCACAAAGAATTTTCTCAGAATGCCTCTGTCTACTTTTTATATGAAGATATTTCCCTTTTCATCATAGGCCTCAAATTGCAGCAAATATCCTCTTGCAAAAAGCTTCAAAAAGACTGTTTCAAAGCTGCTCTGTCTAAAAGAATATTCAACTCTGTGAGTTGAATGCACACATCACAAAGCAGTTTCTGAGAATTCTTCTGTCTTCTGTGTATGTGTAGATATCCCGTTTACCACAAATTCCTCACAGAGCTCCACATATCCACAAGCAGATTCTACAAAAGCGTGTTTCCAAACTGCTCTATCAAAGAAACGTTCAACTCTGAGAATTGAATGCACACATCACAAAAAAGTTTCTCAGAAGGCTTCTGTCTAGTTTTTATGTGAAGACATTACCTTTTCCACCATAGGCCAAAAATCGCTCCATATATCCACTTTCAGACGCTAGAAAAAGAATGTTTCAAAACTGCTATCTCAAAAGGAAGTTTCAAGTCTTTGAGTTGAATGCACATATCACAAAGCAGTTTCTCAGAATGCTTTTGTCTAGTTTGTAGGTGAAGATATCCCATTTACAATGAATTCCTCAAAGACATCCAAATATCCACAAGCATATTCTACAAAAATAGTGTTTCAAAACTGCTCTATCAAAAGAAAAGTTTCAACTCTGTAAATTGAACACACACATCACAAAGGTGTTTCTGAGAATGCTAGTGTCTATTTTTTATGTGAAGATATTTCCTTTTCCACCATAGGCCTCAAAGCGCTCCAAATGAACACTTGCAGATTCTACAAAAACTGTGTTTCAAAACTGCTCTACCTAAAGAAATGTTCAACTCTGTGAGTTAAATGCTCACATCACAAAGAACTTCCTGAGAATGCTTCTGTCTAGTTTTTATGTGAAGGTACCCATTTCCAAAGAATTTCCCAAAGAGTTCCAAATATCCACAAGCAGATTCTAAAAAAGGAGCGTTTAAAAACTGCTCTATCAAAAGACAGGTCCAAATCTGTGAGTTGAAGGCACACATCTCACAGAAGTTCCTGAGAATGCTTCTGTCTAGTTTTTATGTGAAGATATTTCCTTTTCCAACATACGCTTCAAAGCGCTCCAAATGAACACATGTAGAAACAAAAAAAGATTGTTTCAAAACTGCTCCACCAAAAGAAGGGTTCCTCTCTGTGAGGTGAATGCAACCATCACAAAGCAGTTTCTGAGAATGCTTCTGTCTAGTTTTTATGTGATGATATTTTCTTTTCCAACATAAGCCTCAAATCGCTCCAAATATACACTTGCAGAAACTACAAAAAGAATGTTTCAAAACTGCCCTCTCAAAAGGAAGGTTCAACTCTCTGAGTTGAATGCACACATCACAATGCAGTTTCTGAGAATGCTTCTGTCAAGTTTGTATGTGAAGATATCCCCTTTACAAAGAATTCCTCAAAGATCTCCAAATATCCAATAGCAGATTCTACAAAAAGTGTGTTTCAAATCTGCTGTACAAAAGAAAGGCTCAACTCTGTGATTTGAATGCATACATCACAAAGAATTTTCTCAGAATGCTTCTGTCTAGTTTTTATATGAAGATATTTCCCTTTTCATCATAGGCCTCAAATCGCAGCAAATATCCACTTGCAAATAGCTTCAAAAAGACTATTTCAAAGCTACTCTGTGAAAAGGAATTTTTCAACTCGGTGAGTTGAATGCACACATCACAAAGCAGTTTCTGAGAATTCTTCTGTCTACTGTGTGTGTATATATCCCGTTTACCACGAATTCCTCACAGAGCTCCAAATATCCACAAGCAGACTCTACAAAAGCAGTGTTTTCAAACTGCTCTATCAAAAGAAACGTTCAACTCTGTGAATTGAATGCTCACATCACAAAAAAGTTTCTCAGAATGCTTCTGTCTGGTTTTACGTGAAGACATTACCTTTTCCACCATATGCCTCAAAGCGCTCCAAATGAACACTTGCAGAGTCTTCAAAAAGACTGTTTCAAAACTGCTCTATCAAAGGAAGGGTTCAACTCTGAGTTGAATGCAAACATCACAAAGCAGTTTGTGAGAATGCTTCTATCGAGTTTTTATGTGAAGATATTTCCTTTTCCACCATAGGCCTCAAATCGCTCCAAATATCCACTTGCAGATACTACAAAAACACTGTTTCAAATCTCCTCTCTCAAAAGGAAGGTTCAACTCTATGAGTTGAATGCACACAACGCAAAGCAGTTTCTGAGAATGCTTCTGGTTTGTATGTTAAGATATATTGTTTACGACGAATTTCTCAAAGAACTCCAAATATCCACAAGCAGATTCTACAAAAGGAGTGTTTCAAAACTGCTCCATTAAAAGAGATGTTCAACTCTGTGAGGTGAATGCACAAATCACAAAGCAGTTTCTGAGAATACTTCTGTCTAGTTTTTATGTGAAGATATTACATTTTCCATCATATTCCTGAAATCGCTCCAAATATCCACTTGCAGATACTACAAAAAGAGTGTTTCAAAACTGCTGTCTTAAAAGGAAGGTTCAACTCCGTGAGCTGAATGCACACATCAAAAAGTAGTTTCTGAGAATTCTTCTGTCTACTTTGTATGTGTAGATATCACATTTACAACGAATACCTCAAAGAGCTCCAAATATCCACAAGCAGATTCCACAAAATGGGTGTTTCAATACTGCTCTATGAAAAGACACGTTCAATCTGTTAGTTTAATGCACACATCTCACAGAAGTTCTTGAGAATGCTTCTGTCTAGTTTTTACGTAAAGATATTTCCTTTTACACCATAGGCTTCAGAGCGCTCCAAATGAACTCTTGCAGATTCTACAAAAAGTCTGTTTCAAAACTGCTCTATCAAAAGAAGTGTTCCACTCTGAGAGGTGAATACACACATCACATAGCAGTTTCTGAGATATTTGTTTATGTGAAGATATTTCCTTTTCCACCATAGGCCACAAATCACTCCATATATCCACTTTCAGACACTAGAAAAACAGTGTTTCAAAACTGCTATCTGAAAAGGAAGGTTCAAGTCTTTGAGTTGAATGCACACGTCACAAAGCAGTTTCAGAGAATGCTTCTGTCTACGTTTATGTGAAGACACCCTCTTCCAATGAATTCCACAAGAGTTCCAAATATCCAAAAGGAGATTCTGCAAAAGGAGTGTTTCAATACTGCTCTATCAAAAGACAGGTTCAACTCTTAGTTGAAGGCACACATCCCAAAGAAGTTCCTGAGAATGCTTCTGTCTAGTTTTTATGAGAAGATATTTCCTTCTCCACCATAGGCCTCAAAGCGCTCCAAATAAACACTTGCAGATTCTACAAAAAGTGTGTTTCAAAACTGCTGTATAAAAGGAAATTTTCAACTCTGTATGTTGTATGCACACATCACAAAGAACTTTCTGAGAATATTTCTGTCTACTATTTTTGTGCAGCTAGACAGTTTCCAACGGATTCCTCAAAGAGTTCCAAATATACACAAGCAGATTCCACAAAAGGAGTGTTTCAAAACTGCACTATCAAAAGCAAGGTTCAACACTGTTAATTGAACACACACATCAAAAAGGAGTTTCTGAGAATGCTTCTGTCTAGTTTTTATGTGGAGATATTTCCTTTTCCACAATAGGCCTCAAAGCTCTCCAAATAAACACTTGCAGATTTTACAAAAAGTGTGTTTCAAACCTGCTCTGTCAAAAGAAAGGTTCAACTCTGTGAGATGAATGCACACAAAAAAAGAAGTTCCGGAGAATGCTTCTGTCTAGTGTTTACGTGAACATATATCCTTTTCCATCATAGGCCTAAAAGAGTTCCAAATATCCACCTGCAGATTTTACAAAAAGACTGTTTCAAAACTGCTCTATGAAAAGAAGGGCTCAACTCTGGGAGGTAAATGCACACATCACAAAGCAGATTCTGAGAATGCTCCTGTGTAGTTTTTATGTGAAGATATTTCCTTTTCCACCATAGGCCTCAAATCGCTCCAAATATCCACTTGCAGGTAGCACAAAAATACTCTTTAAAAACTGCTCTCTCAAAAGGAAGTTTCAACTCTGTGAGTAGAATGCACACATCCCAAAAATGTTTGTGAGAATTCTTCTGTCTCGTTTTCATGTGAAAATATTTGCTTTTCCACCACAGGCCTCAAAGCACTCAAAATGAACACTGCAGATTATTCAGAAACAATGTTTCAAATCCGTTCTATCAAAAGAAAGGTTCAACTCTGTGAGTTGAATGCTCACATCACAAAGAACTTTCTAAGAATACTTCTGTCTCGTTTGTTTCTGAAGACACAAGTTTCCAGCGAATTCCTCAAACAGTACCAAATATTCACAAGTAGATTCTACAAAGGGAGTGTTTCAATACTGCTCTATGAAAAGACAGATTGAACTCTGTTAGTTGAATGCACACATCTCAAAAAAGATTCTGAGAATGCTTGTGTCTAGTTTTTATGTGATGATATTTCCTTTTCCACCATAGGCTTCAAAGCGCTCCAAATGACCACTTACAGATACTACAGAAAGAATGTTTCAAATCTGCTCTATCAGAAGAAAGGATCAAGGGTGTGAGTTGAAGGCACACATCACAAAAAACTTTCTGAGAATAATTGTGTCTAGTTTTTTTCTGAAGATAGCCTGTTTCCAATGAATTCCTCAAAGAGATTCACATATCCACAAGCAGATTCTACAAAATGAGTGTTTCAAAACTGCTCTCAAAAGAAAAGTTCAACTCTGTGAATTGAACACACATATCACAAAGGTGTTTCTGATAATGCTTCAGTCTAGTTTTTATGTGAAGGTATTTCCTTTTCCACCATAGGCCTCAAAGCACTAAAAATGAACACTTGCAGATTATACAGAAAGAATATTTCAAATCTCCTCTATCAAAAGAAAGGTTCAACTCTGTGAGTTAAATGCACACATCACAAAGAAGTTTCTGAGAATACTCTGTCTAGTTATTTTCTAAAGATTGACCGTTTCCAAAGAATTCCTCAAAGAGTTTCATATATCCACAAGCAGATTCTACAAAAGGAGTGTTTCAAAACTGCTCTATCAAAAGAAAGGTTCAACTTTGTGAATTGAACACAGACATCACAAAGATGTTTCTGAGATTGCTTCTGTCTCGTTTTTATGTGAAGATATTTCCTTTTCCACCATAGTTCTCAAAGCGATCCAAATGAACAACTGGAGGTTCCTCAAAAAGTGTGTTTCAAAACTGCTCTAACAAAAGAAATGTACAACTCTGTGAGTTGAATTCACACATCACAAAAAACTTTCTGAGAATGCTTCTGTCTAGTTTTTATATGAAGTTACTCGTTTCCAACCAATTCCTCAAAGAGTTCCAAATATCCACAAGCAGATTCTACAAAAGGAGTGCTTCAATACTGCTCTATCGAAACACAGATTCAACTCTGTTAGTTGAATGCACACATATCAAAGAAGTTCCTGAGAATGCTTCTGTCTATTTTTTATGTGAAGATATTTCCTTTTCCACCATGTGCCTCAAAGCTCTTAAAATGAACACTTGCAGATTATACAGAAAGAAAGTTTCAAATCTACTCTATATAAGAAAGGTTCATCTCTGTGAGTTGAATGCACACATCAAAAAGAACTTTCTGAGAATGCTTCTGAATAGTTTTTATGTGAAAATACCCGTTTCCAACGTATTCCCCAAGAGTTCCAAATATCCACAAACAGATTCTACAAAAGGTGTGATTGAATATGGCATTATCAAAAGATGTTCAACCCTTAGTTGAAGGCACACATCTCAAAGATGTTCCTGAGAATGCTTCTGTCTAGTTTTTATGTGAAGTTATTTCCTTTTCCACCTGTGGCTTCAAAGCGCTCCAAATGAACAATTGCAGATTCTACAAAAAGAATGTTTCAAAACTGCTGTATCAAAAGAAGATTTCCACTCTGTGAGGTGAATGCACACATCACAAAGCAGTTTCTGAGAATGCTTCCGACTAGTTTTTATGTGAAGATATTTCCTTTTCCACACTGGCCTCAAATCGCTCCAAATACCCACTTGCAGATACTAGAAAAAGACTGTTTCAAGGCTGCTCTCTCAAAAGGAAAGTTCAACTTTGTGAGTTGAATGCACACATCACAAAGCAGTTTCTGAGAATGCTTCTGTGTAATTTGTATGTGTAGATATCCCGTTTACAACGAATTTCTCAAAGAGCTCCAAATATCCAAAAGCAGATTCTACAAAAGAGGTGTTTCAAAAATGCTCTATCAAAAGAAAGGTTCAACTGTGTGAATTGAACACACACATCACAAAGGTGTTTTTGAAAATACTTCTGTCTATTTTTTCTGTAAAGGTATTTCATTTTCCACCATAGGCCTCAAAGCACTCCAAATGAACAGTTTTAGATTTTAAAAAAAGTGTGTTTCAAAACTGCTCTATCAAAAGAAAGTTTCAACTCTGTGAGCTGAATGCACACATCACAAAGAACTTTCAGAGAATGCTTCTGTCTAGTTTTTATGTGAAGATATTTCCTTTTCCAACATAGGCCTCAAATCGCTCCAAATACCTTCTGGCAGATTCTACGAAAAGACTGATACAAAACTTCTCTCACAAAAGGAAGTTTCAACTCTGTGAGTTGAATGCACACATCACAAAGAAGTTTCTGAGAACGCTTCTGTCTAGGTTTTATGTGAAGATATTTTATTTCTACCGTAGGCCTCAATGCGCTCAAAGTGAACTCTTTTAGATCCTGTAAAACGAGTGTTTCAAAACTGCTCTATCGAAAGAAAGGTTCTACTCTGTGAGTTGAATGCTCACATCACAAAGATGTTTCTGAGAATGCTTCTGTCTAGTTTTTTTATGTGAAGATATTCCCTTTTCCACCACAGGCCTCATAGCGCACAAAGTGAACACTTGCTGATCCTAAAAAAGGAGCGTTTCAAAACTGCTCTATCAAAAGAAAGGTTCAACTCTGTGAGTTGAATGCAAACATCGCAAAGAACATTCTGAGAATGCTTCTGTCTAGAATTTATGTGAGGATATTTCCTTTTCCAACATAGGCTTCAAAGCGCTACAAATGAACACTTGCAGATTCTACAAAAAGACTGTTTCAACACTGCTCTCTCAAAAGGAAGGTTCAACTCTATGAGTTGAATTCACACATCACAAAGAAGTTTCTGAGATTGCTTCTGTCTAGTATTTATGTGAAGATATTTCCTTTTCCACCGTAGGCATCAAAGGGCTCAAAATGAACACTTGCAGATTCTACAGAAGAGTGTTTCAAATCTGCTCTATCAAAAGAAAGGTTCATCTCTGTGAGTTGAATGCGCACATCACAAAGAACTTCCTGAGAATACTTCTGTCTACCTTTTTTGTGAAGATAGCCCGTTACCAACGAATTCCCCTAGAGTTCCAAATATCCACAAGCGGATTCTTCAATAGGAGTGTTTCAATACTGCTCTATCAAAAGAAAAGTTCAACTCTGTTAGCTGAATGCCCACATCACAAAGAAGTTCCTGAGAATGATTCTGTCTAGTTTTTATGTGAAGATATTCCTTTTCCCACAAATGCCTCAAATCGCTTCAAATATCCACTGGCAGATACTACAGAAAGACTATTACAAAACTACTCTCACAAAAAGAAGTTTCAACTCTTTTTGTTGAATGCACACATCACAAAGATGTTTCTGAGAATGCCTCTGTGTAGTTTTTATGTGAAGAGATTTCCTTTTCCACCATAAGCCTCAAAGCGTTCTAAATGAACACTTGCTGATACTTCAAAAAGAGTGTTTCAATACTACTCTATCAAAAGACAGATTCAACTCTGTTAGTTGAAGGCACATATCTCAAAGAAGGGCCTGAGAATGCTTATGACTAGTATTTGTTTGAAGATATTTCTTTTTCCACTTTAGACCTCAAAGCGCTCCAAATGAACACTTGCAGATTCTACAATAGAATGTTTCAAAACAGCCCTTTCAAAAGAAATGTTCAACTCTCTGAGTTGAATGCACACATCACAAAGAACTTTCAAAGAATGCTTTTGTCTAATTTTTATGTGAAGATATTTCCTTTGCTACCATATGCCTCAAAACGCTGTAAATGAATACTTGCATTTTCTCCAAAAAGAGTGTTTCAATGCTGCTGTGGGAAAAGACAGGTTCAAATCTGTTAGTTGAATGCACACATCTCAAAGTAGTTCCTGAGAATACTTCTGTCCAGTTTTTATGTGAAGATATTTCCTTTTCCACCATAGGCCCCTAATCGCTCCAAATATCCACTTGCAGATACTACAAAAACACTGTTTCAAAACTGCTCTCTCAGAAGAAAGGTTCAACTCTGTGAATTCAATGCACACATCACAAAGCAGTTTCTCAGAATGCTTCTGTCTAATTTGTATGTGAAGAGATCCCGTTTACAAAGAATTCCTCAATGAGCTCCAAATATCCAAAAGCAGATTCTACAAAAGGAGTGTTTCAAAATTTCTCTATAAAAAGAAAGGTTCAAATCTATGAGTTGAATGCACTTATCACAAAAATGTTTCTGAGAATGCTTCTGTCTAGTTTTTATGTGAAGATATTTCCTTTTCCACCATAGGCCTCTAAGCGCTCAAAATGAACACTTGCAGATTATTGAGAAAGAACGTTTCAAATCTGCTCCATCAAAAGAAAGGTTCAACTCTGTGAGTTGAATGCACACATCACAAAGTACTTTCTGAGAATACTTCTGTCTACTTTTTCTGTGAAGATAGACCGTTTCCAACGAATTCCTCAAAGAGATCCAAATATCCACAAGCAGATTCTTCAAAAGGAGTGTTTCAAAACTACTCTATCAAAGAAAGGTTCAACTCTGTGAATTGAACACACACGTCAAAATGGAATTTCTGAGAATGCTTCTGTCTAGTTTTTATGTGAAGATATTTTATTTTCCACCATAAGCCTCAAAGCGCTCCAAATGAACACTTGCAGATTTTACCAAAAGAGTGTTTCACAACTGCTCTGTCAAAAGAAAGGTTCAACTCTGTTAGCTGAGTGCACATATCACAAAGAAGTCCCTGAGAATGCTTCTGTCTAGTTTTTATGTGAAGATATTTCCTTTTCCAACATAGGCCTCAAATCGCTCCAAATATACACTGGAAGATGGTTCAAAAAGACTCTTACAAAACTTCTCTCATAAAAGGAAGTTTCAACTCTGAGAGTTGAATGCACACATCACAAAGCAGTTTCTGAGAATGCTTCTGTCTAGTTTTTATTTGAAGATATTTCCTTTTCCACCACAGGCCTCAAAGCTCTGTAAATGAACACTTGCCGATTCTACAAAAAGAGTATTTCAATACTGCTCTATCAAAAGACAGGTTCAACTATGTTAGTTGAATGCACTCACCTCAAAGAAGGTCCTGAGAATTCTTCTGTCTCGTTTTTTGTACCATAGGCCTCAAATCGCTCCACATATCCTCTGACAGATTCTACAAAAAGACTATTAAAATACTGCTCTCACAAAAGGAAACTTCAACTCTGTGAGTTGAATGCACACATCACAAAGAAGTTTCTGAAAATCCTTCTGTCTAGTTATTATGTGAAGATATTTCCTTTTCCACCACACGACTCAAATCGCTCCAAATATCCACTTTCAGATTCTACAAAAAGAGTGTTTTAAAACTGCTCTGTCAAAAGAAAGGTTCAGCTCTGTTAGATGAAAACACACATCACAAAGAATTTCCTGAAAATGCTTCTGTATAGTTTTTATGTGAAGATATTTCCTTTTCCAACATAGGTCTCAAATCGCTAAAAATATACACTGGTAGATTGTACAAAAAACTATTATAAAACTGCTCTCACAAAAGGAAGTTTCAACTCTCTGAGTTGAATGTACACATCACAAAGAAGTTTCTGAGTGTGGTTTTGTCTAGATTTTATGTGAAGATATTTCCTTTTCCACAATAGGCAACAAAGCGCTCTAAATGAACACTTGCAGATTATACAAAAAGAGTGTCTAAAAACTTCTCTTACGAAGGAAAGTTTCAACTCTGTGAATTGAATGCACATATCACAAAGAAGTTTCAGAGAATGCTTCTGTATAGTATGTTAAGATGTTTCCTTTTCCACTGTAGGCCTCAAAGCCCTCCAAATGAACACTTGCAGATTCTACAGAAGAGTGTTTCACAACTTCTCTACCGAAAGAAAGGTTGATCTTCGTGAGTTGAATGCACACATCACAAAGAACTTTCTGAGAATGCTTCTGTCTAATTTTTATGTGAAGATATATCTTTTTCCAACATAGGCCTCAAATGGCTCCAAATATCCTCCTGCAGATTCTACAAAAAGACTGTATCAAAACTGCTCTATCAAAAGAAAGGCTCAACTCTGTGAGTTGAATGCACACATCACAAATAACTTTCTGAGAATACTTCTCTCTAGTTTTTATGTGAAGATATTTCCTTTTCCATCATAGGCTTCAAAGCGCTCCAAAGGAACACTTGCAGATTCTACAAAAAGACAGTTTCAAAACTGTTCCTTCGAAAGGAAGGTTCAATTCTGTGAGTTGAATGCACACATCCCAAAGCAGTTTCTGAGAATGCTTCTGTCTATTTTGTATGTGAAGATATACCGTTTACAATGAATACCTCAAAGAGCTCCAAATATCCACAAGCAGATTCTACAAAACGAGTGTTTCAAAACTGCTCTATCAAAAGAAAGGTTCAAATCTGTCAGTTGAATGCACACATCAAAAAAAGTTTATGACAATGCTTCTGTCTATTTTTTAGGTGAAGATATTTCCTTTTCCACTATAGGCCTAAAACCGCTCTAAATGAACACTTTTAGATTCTACAAAAAGAGTGTTTAAAAACTGCTCTATCAAAAGAAAGATTTAACTCTGTCAATTGAATGCACACATCACAAAGAAGTTTCTGAGAATTCTTCTGTCTTGTTTTTATGTGAAGATATTTCCTTTTCCACCATAGACCTCAAAGTGCTCTAAATGAACACTTGCAGACCCTACAAAAAGTGTGTTTAAAAACTGCTCTATCAAAAGAAAGGTACAACTCTGTGAGTTGAATGCACACATCACAAAGGAGTTTTTGAGAATGCTTCTGTCTAGTTTTTATGTGAAGATAATTCCTTTTCCACCCTTGGCCGCAAAGCGCTCCAATTGCACACTTGCAGATTCTACAAAAAGTGTGTTATGAAAAAGCTCTATCAAAAGAAATGTTCCACTCTTTGAGTTGAATGCACACATCACAAAGAACTTTCTGAGAAGGCTTCTGTCTAGTTTTTATGTGAAGATACCCGTTTCCAACGAATACCTCAAAGAGTTACAAATATCTACAAGCAGATTTTGCAAAAGGAGTGTGTCAATACTGTTCTATCAAAATACAGGTTCAGCTCTGTTAGTTGAATGCACACAACTCAAAGAAGTTCCTGAGGATGCTTCTGTCTAGTTTTTATGAGAAGATATTTCCTTTTCCAACATAAGCCTCAAATCTCTCTAAATATCCACTGGCAGATTCTACAAAAAGACTGTTTCAAACAGCTCTTTCAAAGGAAATGTTGCACTCTGAGAGTTCAATGCAAACATCACAAAGCATTTTCTGAGAGTACTTCTGTCTACTTATTATGTGAGGCCATTGGCCTCAAATGGCTCCAAATATCCATTTGCAGATACTACAGAACGACTGTTTCAAAACTGATCTCTCAAAAGGAAGTTTCAACTCTGTGAGTTGAATGCACACATCACAATGCAGTATCTGAGAATGCTTTTGTCTATTTTGTATGTGAAGATATACCGTTTACAACGAATTCCTCAAAGAGCTCCAAATATCCACAAGCAGATTCCACAAAAGGAGTGATTCAAAACTGCTCTATCAAAAGAAATGTTCAACTCTGTGAGTTGAATGCACACATCACAAAAAAGTTTCTGAGAATGCTTCTGTCTAGTTTATGTGAAGATAATTCCTTTTCCACCATAGGACCCAAAGCGCTCAAAATGAACACTTGCAGATTATACAGAAAGAATGTTTCAAATCTGCTCTATCAAAAGAAAGGTTCAACTCTGTGAGTTTAATGCACACATCACAAAGAACTTTCTGAGAATACTTCTGTCTAGTTTTTTTGTGAGGATATCCTGTTTCCAACGAATTCCTAAAAAGTTCCAAATATCCACAAGAAGATTCTACAAAAGGAGTGTTTCCAAACTGCTCTATCAAAACAAACGCTCAACTCTGTGAATTGAACACACACATCACAAAGGAATTTGAGACTGCTTCTGTCTAGTTTTTATGTGAAGATATTTCCTTTTCCAACTGAGGCCTCAAATCGCTGCAAATATCCACTGGCAGATTCTACAAAAAGACAGTTACAAAACTGCTCTCACAAAAGGAAGTTTCAACTCTGTGAGTCTAATGCACACAACACAAAGAGGTTTATGACAATGCTTCTGTCTAGTTTTTACTTGAAGATATTTCCTTTTCCAACATAGGCCTTAAAGTGCTCAACGTGAACTCTTGCAGATCCTATAAAAGGAGTGTTTCAAAAGTGCTCTATCAAAAGAAAGGTTCCACTCTGTGAGTTGAATTCACACATCATGAAGAAGTTTCCGAAAATGCTTCTGTCTGGTTTTTCTGTGAATATATTTCCTTTTCCACCATAGGCCTTAAAGCACTCAAAGTGAACTATTGCAGATCCTATAAAAGGCGTGTTTCAAAACTGCTCTATCAAAAGAAAGGTTCGACTCTGGGAGTTGAATGCACACATCACTAAGAAGTTTCTGAGAATGTTTCTGTCTGCTTTTTATGTGAAGATATTTCCTTTTCCACCATAGGCCTCAAAGGGCTCAAAGTGAACACTTGCAGATCCCTTAAAAGGAGTGTTTCAAAACTGCTCTGTCCAAAGAAAGGTTCAACTCTGTGAGTTTAATGCAAACATCTCAAGGAAGTACCTGAGAATGCTTCTGTCTAGTTTTTATGTGAAGATATTTCCTTTCCAACCATAGGACTCAAATCGCTCCAAATATCCACCTGCAGATACTACAAATAGAGTGATTCAAAACTGCTCTCCCAAAAGGAAGGCTCACCTCTGTGACTTGAATGCTCACACTACAAAGCTGTCTCTGAGAAATCTTCTGACGAGTTTTTATGTGAAGATATTTTCTTTTCCACCATAGGCCTCAAATCCCTCCAAATATCCACTTGCAGATCTACAAAAGAACTGATTCAAAACTGCTCTATCAAAAGGAAAGTTCAATTCTGTGAGTTGATTACACACATCACAAAGAACTTTCTGAGAATGCTTCTGTCTAGTTTTTATGTGAAGATAACTATTTTCAAGGAATTCCTCAAAGAGTTACAAACATCCACAAGCAGATTCTACAAAAGGAGTGTTTCAATACTGCTCTATCAAAAGACAAGTTCAATTCTGTTAGTTGAATGCACTCATCTCTAAGTAGTTCCTGAGAAAACTTCTGTCTAGTTTTTATGTGAAGATATTTCCTTTTCCACAATAGGACTCAAATCACTCCAAATATCCACCTGCGGATTCTACAAAAAGACTGTTTCAAATGCCTCTCTCAAAAGTGAGGCTCGACTCTGTGAATTGAATGCGCACATCACAAAGCAGTTTCTGAGAATGCTTCTGTCTAGTTTGTATGTGAGGGTATCCCGTTTACAACGAATTCCTCAAAGAGTTCCAAATATCCACAAGCAGATCCTACAAAAGGAGTATTTCAAAACTGTACTATCAAAAGAATGGTTCAACTCTGTGAATTCAACACACACATCACAAAGGAGTTTCTGAGAATGCTTCTGTCGAGTATTTAGGTGAAGGCATTTTCTTTTCCACCAGAGGCCTCAAAGTGCCCCAAATGAACACTTGCAGATTCTACAAAAAGAGTGTTTCAAAACTGCTGTTTCAAAAGAAAGGTTCAACTCTGTTTGCTGAATGCACATATCACAAAGTAGTTCCTGAGAATGCTTCAGTCTAGTTTTTATGTGAAGATATTTCGTTTTCCAACATAGGCCTTTAAGCGCTCAAAGTGAACTTTTGCAGATCCTGTAAGAGGAGTGTTTCAAAACTGCTCTATCACAAGAACGGTTCAACTCTTTTAGTTGAACGCACACATCACAAAGCAGTTTCTGAGAACGCTTCAGTGTAGTTTTTATGTGAAGATATTTCCTTTTCCACCATAGGCCTCAAGTCGCCCCAAATATCCACTTGCAAATACTACAAAAACACTGTTTCACATTTGCTCTCTCAAAAGCAAGGTTCAACTCTGTGAGTAGAATGCACACATCACAAAGTAGTTTTTGAGAATGCTTCCATTTTTTATGTGAATATATCCCGTTTACACTGAATTCCTCAAAGAGCTCCAAATATCCACAAGCAGATCCTACAAAAGGAGTGTTTCAAAACTGCTGTTTCAAAGGAAAGGTTCAACTCTGTGATTTGAATGTACACATAACAAAGAAATTTCTGAGAATGCTTCTGTCTAGTTTTTTTGTGAAGATATTTTCTTTTCCAAAGAATTCCTCAAAGAGTTCTAAATATCCACAAGCACATTCTAAAAAAGGAGTTTTTCAATACTGCTCTATCAAAAGACAGATTCAACTCTGTTAGTTAAATGCACACATCTCAAATAAGTTTCTGAGAATGCTTCTGTCTAGTTTTTATGTGAAGATATTTCGTTTTCTAACATAGGCCTCAAAGATCTCCAAATGAACACTGGAGATATTACAAAAAGAGTGTTTCAAAACTGCTTTGTCAAAAGAAAGGTTCAACTATCTTAGCTGAATGCACACATCACAAAGAAATTACTGAGAATGTTTCTGTCTAGTTTTTATATGAAGATATATCCCTTTCCAACACAGGCCTGAAATCGCTCCAAATATCCACCTGCAGATTCTACAGAAAGACTGTTTCAAAACTGCTCTATCAGAAGAAAGGCTCAATTCTGTGAGTTGAAAGCACACAACACAAAGCAGTCTCTGAGAATGCTTCTGTCTAGTTTTTATGTGAAGATATTTCCTTTTCCACCATAGGCCTCAAATCGCTCCAAATATCTACTTGCAGGTACCACAAAAACACTGTTTCCACAGTGTTTGCAGGTAGCACAAAAACTGCTCTCTCAAAAGGAAGGTTCAAATCTGTGAGTTGAATGCACACATCACAAATTAGTTCCTGAGAATGCTTGTCTCTAGTTTTTATGTGAAGATATTTCCTTTTCCACCATAGGAGTCAAATCGCTCAAAATATCCACTTACAGATACTACAAAAAGACTGTTTCAAAACTGCCCTGTCAAAACGAAGGTTCAACACTGTGAGGTGAATGCACACATCACCAAGCAGTTTCTGAGAATGTTTCTGCCTAGTTTCTACGTGAAGATATCCCATTTACAACGAATTCCTCAAAGAGCTCCAAATATCGAAAAGCAGATTCTACAAAAGCAGTGTTTCAAAACGACTCCATCAAAAGAAAGATTCAGTTCTGTCAGTTGAATGCACACATCACACAAAAGTTTTTGAGAATGTTTCTGTCTAGTTTTTAAGTGAAAATATTTCCTTTTCCACCATAGGCCTCAAAACGTTCAAAATAAACACTTGCAGATTATACAAAAAGTATGTTTCAAATCTGGTCTATCATAAGAAACGTTCTACTCTGTGAGTTGAATGCACACATCACACAGAACTTTCCGAGAATATTTCCCTCTGTTTTTTTTGTGAAGATAGCCCATTTCCAAAGAATAGTTTAAAAGTTCCAAATATCCAAAAGCAGATTCTACAGAAGGATTGGTTCAAAGCTGCTCTATCAAAAGAAAGGTTCATCTTTGTGAATTGAACACACACAACACAAAGGAGTTTCTGAGAATGCTTCTGACTAGTTTTTATGTGAAGATATTTCCTTCTCCACCATAGGCCCCAAAGTGCTCCAAATGAACACTTGCAGATTATACAGAAAGAAAGTTTAAAACATGCTGTATCAAAAGAAAGGCTCAACTCTGTGAGTTGAATGCACACATCACAAGGAACTTTCTGAGAATACTTCTGTCTAGTTTTTTTTGTGAAGGTGGCCCGTTTCCAACGAATTCCTCAAAGAGTTCCAAATATCCAAAAGCAGATTCTACAAAAGCAGTGTTTCAAAACTGCTCCATCAAAAGAAAGTTTCAACTCTGTGAATTGAACAAACACATCACAAAGGAGTTTCTGAGAATGTTTCTGTCTAGTTTTTATATGAAGATATTTCCTTTTCCTCCTTAGGCCTCAAAGCTCTCCAAATGAACAATTGGAGATTTTAAAAAAAGAGTGTTTCAAAACTGCTCTGTCAAAAGAAATGTTCAACTATATCAGATGAGTGCAAACATCACAAAGAATTTCCTGAGAATGCTTCTGTCTACTTTTTTTGGGAAGATATACCCTTTTCCAACACAGGCTTCAAGTCGCTCCAAATATCCTCCTGCAGATTCTACAAAAAGACTGTTTCAAAACTGCTATATCAAAAGAAAGGCTTCACTCTGTGAGTTGAATGCACACATCACAAAGCAGTTTCTGAGAATGCTTCTCTCTAGTTTTTATGTGAAGATATTTCCTTTTCCATCAAAGTGCTCAAATCACTCAAAATATCAACTTGCAGGTATCACAAAAAGATTGTTTCAAAACTGCTCTCACAAAAGGAAGGTTCAACTCTGTTAGATGAATGCGCACATCACAAAGCAGTTTCCGAGAATTATTCTGTACACTTCGTATGTGAAGATATCCTGTTTACAACGAATTCCTCAAAGAGCTCCAAATATCCCCAAGCAGATTCTACAAAACGAGTGTTTCCAAAATGCTCTATCAAAAGAAAGGTTCAATTCTGTGAGTTCAATGCACACATCACAAAAAAGTTTCTGGGAATGCTTCTGTCTAGTTTTTATGTGAAGATATTACCTTTTCCACCATTGGCTTCAAAGTGCTCCAAATGAACACTTCAGTTTCTACAAAAAGACTGTTTCAAAACTGCTGTATCAAAGGAAGGGTTCAACTCTGTGAGTTGAATGCACACATCACAAAGCAGTTTCTCAGAATGCTTCTGTCTAGTTTTAATATGAAGATATTTCCTTTTCCACCATAGGCCTCAAATCGCTCAAAATATCCACTTGCAGATACTAGAAAAATATTGTTTCAAAACTGCTCTCTCAAAAGGAAGGCTCAACACTGTGAGTTGAATGCACACATCACAAAACAGTTTCTAAGAATGCTTCTATTTTGTATGTGAAGGTATCCCATTTACAACTAATTCCTCAAAGATCTCCAAATATCCACAAGCAGATTCTACAAAAGGAGTGTTTCTAACTTGCTCTATCAAAAGAAAGGTTCAACTCTGTGAGTTGAATGCACGCATCACAAAAAAGTTTCTGAGAATGCTTCTGTCTAGTTTTTATGAGAAGATATTTCCTTTTCCACCATAGGCCTCTAAGCGCTCAAAATGAACACTTGCAGATTATTGAGAAAGAATGTTTCAAATCTGCTCCATCAAAAGAAAGGTTCAACTCTGTGAGTTGAATGCACACATCACAGAGAACTTCTTGAGAATATTTCTGTCTAGTTTTTTTCCGAAGATAGCATGTTTCCAATGAATTTCTCAAATAGTTCAATATATCCACAAGCAGATTCTAGAAAAGGAGTGTTTCAAAACTGCTCTATCAAAAGAAAGGTTCAACTCTGTGAATTGAACACACACATCACAAAGCTGTTTCTGAGAATGCTTCTGTCTAGTTTTTTTGTGAAGATATCCCGTTTCCAACGAATTCCTCAAACAGTTCGAAATATTCATGAGCAGATTCTACAAAAAGACTGTTTTAAAACTGCTCAATCAAAGGAAAGGTTCAACACTGTCAGTTTAATGCGCTCATCACAAAGCAGTTTCTGAGAATGCTTCTGTTTAGTTTTTATGCGAAGATATTACACTTTCAACCATAGGCCTCAAATTGCTCCAAATATCCACTTGCAGATACCACAAAAACACTCTTTCAATACTGCTCTCTCAAAAGGAAGATTCAACTCTGTGAGTTGAATGCACATATCACAAAGCAGTTTCTGAGAATACTTCTGTTTTGTGTGTAACGATATCCCGTTTACAAAGAATTCCTCAAAGAGCTCCAATTATGCAGAAGCAGATTCTCCAAAAGGAGTGTTTCAAAACTGCTCTATCAAAAGAAAGGTTCAACACCTTGAGTTGAATGCACACATCATGAAGGAGTTTCTGAGAAAGCTTCGTTATGGTTTATATGTGAAGATAATTTCTTTTCCACCATAGGCCTCCAAGCGCTCCAAATGAACACTTGAAGATTCTACAAAAAGTGTGTTTCAAAACTGCACTATCAAAAGAAAGTTTCAACTCTGTTAGCTGAATCCACACATCACACAGAAGTTCCTGAGAATGCTTCTGTCTAGTTTTTATGTGAAGATATTTCCTTTTCCAACGTAGGCCTCAAATCGCTCCAAATATCCTCTGGCAGAATTTCCAAAATACTATTACAAAGCTGGACTCAGAAAAGGAACTTTCAACTCTGTGAGTTGAATGCATACATCACAAAGAAGTTTCTGAGAATGCTTCTGTTTAGTTTTTATGTGATTATATTTCTTTTTACACCTTATGCCTCAAAGCGCTAAAAGTCAACTATTGAAGATCCTGTAAAAGGAGTGTTTCAAAAGTGCTCTACAAAAAGAAAGGTTTGACTCTGTTAGTTGAATGCACACATCTCAATGAAGGTCCTGAGAATGTTTCTGTCTAGTTTTTATGTGAAGATATTTCCTTTTCCAACGTAGGCCTCAAATCGCTCCAAATATCCTCTGGCAGAATTTCCAAAATACTATTACAAAGCTGGACTCAGAAAAGGAACTTTCAACTCTGTGAGTTGAATGCACACATCACAAAGAAGTTTCTGAGAATGCTTCTGTTTAGTTTTTATGTGATTATATTTCTTTTTACACCTTATGCCTCAAAGCACTAAAAGTCAACTATTGCAGATCCTGTAAAAGGAGTGTTTCAAAAGTGCTCTACAAAAAGAAAGGTTTAACTCTGTTAGTTGAATGCACACATCTCAACGAAGGTCCTGAGAATGTTTCTGTCTAGTTTTTATGTGAAGATATTTCCTTTTTCAAAACAGGCCTCAAATCGCTCCAAATATCCATTTGCAGATACTACAACAACAATGTTTCAAAACTGCTCTCTCAAAAGGAATGTTCAACTCTGTGATTTGAATGCACACATCACAAAGCGGTTTCTGAGAATGCTTCTATTTTCTATGTGTAGATATCCTGTTTACCATGAATTCCTCAAAGAGATCCAAATATCCACAAGCAGATTCTACAAAAAGAGTGTTTCAAAACTCCTCTATCAAAAGAAAGTTTCAACTCTGTGTGTTAAATGCACACATCACAAATAACTTTCTGAGAATTCTTCTGTCTAGTTTTTATGTGAAGATATTTCCTTTTCGGCCATAGGCTTCAAAGCGCTCCAAAAGAACACTTGCAGATACTACAAAAAGACTGTTTCAAAACTGCTCTATCAAAAGAAGTTTTCCACTCTCTGAGGTGAATGCACACATCACAAAGCAGTTTCTGAGAATGCTTCTGTCTAGTTTTTATGTGAAGATATTTCCTTTTCCATAATAGGCCTCAAATCGCTCCAAATATCCACTTGCAGACACTATAAAAACACTGTTTCAAAACTGCTCTCTTAAAGCAAGGTTCAAAACTGTGACTTGAATGCACACATAACAAAGAAGTTTCTGAGAATACTTCTGTCTACTTTGCATGTGAAGATATCCCGTTTACAACGAATTCCTTCAAGAGCTCCAAATACCAGCAAGCAGACTCTACAAAAGCCGTGTTTCAAAACTGCTCTATAGAAAGAAAAGTTCAACACTGTGAATTGAATGCACACAACCCAAAAAATTTTCTGAGAATGCTTCTGTCTAGTTTTTATGTGAAGATATTTCCTTTTCCACCACAGGCCTCAAAGCGCTCAAAATGAACACTTGCAGATTATATAGAAAGAAAGTTTCAAATCTGCTCTATCAAAAGAAAGGTTCAACTCTGTGAGTTGAATGCACACATCACAAAGAACTTTCTGAGAATACTTCTGTGTAGTTTT
>NC_000012.12:37334767-37379851 GCF_000001405.40 Homo sapiens | reverse complement strand
CTCTCTTTTGATAGAGCAGTTTTGAAATAATACTTTTGTAGAATCTGCTTGTGGATATTTGGAGCTCTTTGAGGAATTCTTTGTAAACGGGATATCTTCACATACAAACTAGAGAGAAGCATTCTCAGAAGATGCTGTGTGATGCGTGCGTTCAACTCACAGAGGTGAACCTTCCTTTTCAGAGACCAGCTTTGAAACCGTCTTTTGGTGTTAACTGTAAGTGGATATTTGGAGCGATTTGAGGCCTATGTTGGAAAAGGAAATATCTTCACATAAAAACTAGACAGAAGCATTCTCAGAAACTCCTGTGTGATGTGAGTGTTCAATTCACAGAGTGGAACCTTTCTTTTGATAGAGTAGATATGAAACACTGCTTTTGTAGAATTTGCTTGTGGATATATGAAAATTTTTGAGGAATTCATTGGAAACGGGCTGTCTTCAGAAAAAAAATTGGCAGAAGTATTCTCAGAAAATTCTTTGTGATGTGTGCATTCAACTCATAGAGTTGAACCTTCCTTTTGAGAGAGAAGTTTTGAAACAGTTTTTTGCAGTATCTACAAGTGGATATTTGGAACGATTTGAGGCCTATGGTGGAAAAGGAAATATCTTCACATAAAAACTATACAGAAGCATTCTGAGAACTGCTTTGTGATGTGTGCATTCACCTCACATACTTGAACCCTTCCTTTGTTGGAGCACTTTTGAAAAAGTTTTTTTGTAAAATTTGCAAGTGTTCATTTGGAGCGCGTTGAAGACTGTGGTGAACAAGGAAATACCTTCACATAAAAACTAGACAGAAGCATTGTCAGAAACTTTTTTGTGATGTGTGCATTCAACTCACAGAGTTGAACTTTTCTTTTGATGGAGAAGTTTTGAAACACATCTTTTGTAAAATCTGCTTGTGGATATTTGGAGCTCTTTGAGAAATTCATTGTAAATGGGATATCTTCACATACAAACTAGACAGAAGCATTCTCAGAAGCTGCTATGTGATGTGTGCGTTCAACTCACAGAGTTCAACCTTCCTTTTCAGAGAGCAGTTTTGAAACAGTCTTTTGGTGTTACCTGCCAGTGGGTATTTAGAGCGATTTGAAGCCTATGGTGGAAAAGGAAATATCTTCATATAAAAACTAGACAGAAGCATTCTCAGAAACTGCTTTGTGATTTGTGCATTCAACTCACATATTTGAACCTTTCTTTTTATAGAGCAGTTTTGAAACAGTCTTTTTGTAGAATCAGACGTTGCATATTTTGAGCGATTTGAGGCCTCTGTTGGAAAAGGATATATCTTCACATAAAAACTAGACAGAAACATTCTTAGGAATTTCTTTGTGATGTGTGCATTCAGCTCACAGAGTTGAACGTTTCTTTTGACAGAGCTGTTTTGAAACACTCTTTTGGTAAAATCTGCAAGTGTTCATTTGGAGAGCTTTGAGGCCTATGGTCTAAAAGGAAATATCTTCACATAAAAATATACAGAAGCATTCTCAGAAACTCTTTTGGGATGTGTGTGTTCAAATCATAGAGTGGAACCTTTCTGTTGATAGAGCAGTTTTCAAACACTTCTTTTGTGAAATCTGCTTGTTGATATATGAAACTTTTTGAGGAATTCGTTGTAAACGGGCTATCTTCAGAAAAAAACTAGACAGAAGTATTCTCAGAAAGTTCTTTGTGATGTGTGCATTCCACTCACAGTGTAGAACTTTTGATAGAGCAGATTTGAAACATTATTTCTGTATAATCTGCAGGTGTTCATTTGGAGCGCTTTGAGGCCTATGGTGGAAAAGGAAATATCTTCACATGAAAACTAGACAGAAACATTCTCAGAAATATTTTGTGATGTGTGCATTCAATTCACAGAGTTGAACCTTTCTTTTGATAGAGCAATTTTGAAGCACTGCTTTTGTAGAATCTCCTTGTGGATATTTGGAGCTCTTTGAGGAATTTGTTGTAAACGGGATATCTACACATACAAACTAGACAGAAGCATTCTCAGAAACTGCTTTGTGATCTGTGCATTCAACTCACAGAGTGGAACCCTTCTTTTGTTAGAGCAGTGTTGAAACAGTCTTTTTGTAGTGTCTGCAAGTGTCCATTTGGAGCACTTTGAATCCTATGGTGGAAAAGGAAACATCTTCACATAAAAACTAGACAGAAGCATTCCCAGGATCTTCTTTGAGATGTGTGTGTTCAACTAACGGAGTTGAACATGTCTTTTGATAGAGCATTGTTGAAACACTCCTTTTGAGGGATCTGCTTGTGGATATTTTGAACTCTTAGGGATATCGTTGGAAACGGATGTCTTCATATAAAAACTAGACAGAAGCATTCTCAGAAACTGCTTGGTGATGTGTGCATTCAGCTCACAGAGTTGAACCTTTCTTTTAATAGAGCAGATTTGAAACTTTCTTTCTGTATAATCTGCAAGTGTTCATTTTGAGCGCTTTGAGGCCTAGGGGGAAAAGGAAATATCTTCGCATAAAAACCAGACAGAAGAATTCTCTGAAACTTTTTTGTAATGTGTGCATTCAGCTCACAGAATTGAACCTCTCTTTCGATAGAGCAGTTTTGAAACTCTACTATTGTAGAATCTGCTTGTGGATATTTGGAGCTCCATGAAGAATTCGTTGTAAATGGGATATCTTCACATACAAACTACACAGAAGCATTCTCAGAAGCTGCTGTGTGATGTGTGCGTTTAACTCACAGAGGTGAATCTTCCTTTTCAGACAGCAGCTTTGAAAGAGTCTTTTGGTGTTAACTGCAAGTGTTCATTTTGAGCGCCTCGAGGCCTATGGTGGAAAAGGAAATATCTTCACATAAAAACTAGACAGAAGCATTGTCAGAAACTTTTTTGTGATGTGTGCATTGAACTCACAGAGTTGAACCTCTCTTTTGATAGAGCAGTTTTGAAACACTCCTTTTGTAGAATCTGCTTGTGGATATTTGGAGCTCTTTGAGGAATTCGTTGTAAACGTGATATCTTCACATACAAACTAGAAACATTCTCAGAAACTGCTTTGTGATGTGTGCATTCAACTCACAGAGTTGAACCTTGCTTTTGAGAGATCAGTTTTGAAACAGTGTTTTTGTAGTATCTGCAAGTGTTTATTTGGTGCGATTTGATACCTATGGTGGAAAAGGAAATACCTTCACGTAAAAACTAGACAGAAGCGTTCTCAGAAACTGCTTTGTAATGTGTGCATTCAACTCACAGAGTTGAGCCCTTCCTTTGACGGAGCAGTTTTGAAACAGTCTTTTTCTAGAATCTGCAGGTGTTCATTTGGAGTGCTTTTAAGCCTATTGTGGAAAAGGTAAAATCTTCACAAAAAAACTAGACAGAAGGATTCTCAGAAACTTTTTTGTGATGTCTGCATTTAACTCACAGAGTTGAACCTTTCTTTTGATAGAGAAGTTTTGAAACACACCTTTTGTACAATATGCTTGTGGATATTTTGATCTATTTGAGGAATTCATTGTAAACGGGATATCTACACATACAAACTAGACAGAAGCATTCTCAGAAACTGCTCTGTGATGTGTGGATTCACATCACAGAGTGGAACCCTTCTTTTGTTAGAGCAGTTTTGAAAAAGTCTTTTTGTTGTATCTGCATGTTCATTTGGAGCTCTTTGAAGCCTATGGTGGAAAAGGAAATATCTTCACTTAAAAACTAGACAGAAGCATTCCCAGGATCTTCTTTGAGATGTGTGCATTCAACTAAGAGAGTTGAAACTGTCTTTTGATAGAGCACTATTTGAAACACGCTATTTGTGGAATCTGCTCGTGGATATTTAGAACTGTCGGGAATTCGTTGGAAACGGGCATCTTCACATAAAAACTAGACAGAAGCATTCTCAGAGAATTCTTTGTGATGTGTGCATTCAACTCACAGACTTGAACCATTTTCTGATAGAGGAGATTTGAAACTTTCTTTCTGTATAATCTGCAAGTGTTCATTTTGAACGCTTTGTGGCCTATTGTGCAAAAGGAAATATCTTCACATAAAAACTAGACAGAAGCATTCTCAGAAAATTTTTTGTGATGTGTGCATTCAACTCACAGAGTTGAACCTCTCTTTTGATAGACTAGTTTTGGAACAGTGTTTTTGTAGTATCTGCATGTACATATTTTGAGCGATTTGAGGTCAATGGTGGAAAAGGAAATATCTTCACATAAAAAATAGACAGAAGCATTCTCATAAACTGCTTTGTGATGTGTCTATTCAACTCACGTAGTTGAACCATCTTTTGAAGTAGAAGTTTTGATACAGTCTTTTTGTAGAATCTGCAAGTGTTCATTTGCAGCGCTTTGAAGACTATGGTGGAAAAGGAAATATCTTCACATAAAAACTAGACAGAAGCATTCTCAGAAACTTTTTTGTGATGTGTGCATTGAACTCACAGAGTTGAACCTCTCTTTTGATAGAGCACTTTTGAAACACTCCTTTTGTAGAATCTGCTTGTGGATATTTGGAGCTCTTTGAGGAATTCGTTTTAAACGGGATATCTTCTCTTACCAACTAGAAGCATTCTCAGAAACTGCTTTGTGCTGTGTCCATTCAACTCACAGATTTCAACCTTCCTTTTGATAGAGCAGTCACAAAACAGTGTTTTTGAAGTATCTGCAAGTGGATATTTGGAGGGATTTGAGGCCTATGGTGGAAAAGGAAATATCTTCACATAAAAGCTCGACAGAAGCATTGTCAGAAACTACTTAGTGATGTGTGCATTCAACTCACAGAGATGAGCCTTTCTTTTGACAGAGCAGTTTTGAAACAGTCTTTTTGTAGAATCTGCAGGTGGATATTTGGAGCGATTTGAGGCCTCTGTTGGAAAAGGATATATCTTCCATAAAAACTTGACAGAAGCATTCTCAGGAACTTCTTTGTGATGTGTGCATTCAGGTAACAGATTTGAACCTTTCTTTTGACAGATCAGTTTTGAAAAACTCTTTTGGTAAAATCTGACAGTGTTCATTGGAGAGCTTTGAGTCCTATGGTGGAAAAGCAAATATCTTCACAAGAAAACTGGACAGAAGCATTCTTAGAAACTCCTTTGTGATGTGTGTGTTCAACTCACAGAGTGGAACCTTTCTTTTGATACAGCAGTTTTGAGACACTTCTTTTGTAGAATCTGCTTTGGATATATGAAACTTTTTGAGGAATTCATTGGAAACGGGCTATCTTCAGAAAAAAACTATGCAGAAGTATTCTCAGAAAATTATTTGTGATGTGTGCATTCAACTCACAGAGTTGAACCTTTCTTTTGATAGAGCAGATTTGAAACATTCTTTCTATAATCTGCAAGTGTTCATTTGGAGGGCTTTGAGGCCTATGGTGGAAAAGAAAATATCTTCACATAAAAACTAGACAGAAGCATTCTCAGAAACTTTTTTGTGATGTGTGCATTCAACTCACAGATTTGAAACTTTCTTTCAATAGAGCAGTTTTGAAACACTGCTTTTGTTGAATCTCCTTCTAGATATTTGGAGCTCTTTGAGGAATTCGTTGTAAACGGGATATGTACACATACAAAGTAGACAGAAGATTTCTCACAAACTGCTTTCTGATGTACGCATACACCTCACAGAGTGTAACCCTTCTTTTCTTAGAGCAGTTTTGAAACAGTCTTTTGTAGTATCTGCAAGTGTTCATTTGGAGAGCTTTGAGTCCTATGTTGGAAAATGCAATATCTTCACATAAAAACTCGACAGAAACATTCCCAGGATCTACTTTTAGATGTGTGCTTGCAACTAACAGAGTTGAACCTGTCTTTTGATAGAGCAGTATTGAAACACTCCTTTTGTAGAATCTGCTTGTGGATATTTGGAACACTTGGGGAATTCTTTGGAAACCGGTATCTTCATATAAAAAGTAGCAGAAGCCTTCTCAGAAAGTTCTTTGTGATCTGTGCATTCAACTCACAGAGTTGAACATTTCTTTTTATATAGCAGTTTCGAAACACTCCTTTTGTAGAATCTGCTTGAGGATATTTGGAGCCCTTTGAGGAATTCGTTGTATACGGGATCCCTTCACATACAAACTAGAAGCTTTCTCAGAAACTGCTGTGTGATATGTGCAGTCAACTCAGAGAGATGAACCTTCCTTTTGAGAGAGCAATTTTGAAACAGTGTTTTTGTAGTATATGCCAGTGGATATTTGGAGTGATTTGAGGGCTAAGTTGGAAAAGGAAATATCTTCACATAAAAACTAGACAGAAGCATTCTCAGAAACTTTTTTGTGATGTGTGCATTCAACTCACAGATTTGAACCTCTCTTTTGATAGAGCCGTTTTGAAACACTCTTTGGAGAATCTGCTTGTGTATATTTGAGCTCTTTGAGGAATTCTTTGTAAACAGGATATCTTCACATACAAATTAGGAGCATTATCAGAAACTGCTTTGTGATGTGTGTATTCAACTCACAGAGTTGAACCTACATTTTCAGAGAGCAGTTTTGGAACAGTGTTTTTGTAGTATCTGCAAGGGTATATATTGAGCGATTATAGGCCTATGGAGGAAAAGGAAATATCTTCACATAAAAACTAGACAGAAGTATTCTCAGAAACTGTTTTCTCTTGTGTGCATTCAACTCACAGAGTTGAATCCTTCCTTTGATGGAGCAGTTTGGAAACATCCTTTTGTAGAATCTACAAGTGTTCATTTGGAGCGCTTTGAAGCCTATGGTGGAAAAGGTAATATCTTCATATAAAAACTAGACAGAAGCATTCTCAGAAACTTTTTTGTGATGTGTGCATTCAACTCACAAAGTTGAAGCTTTCTTTTGATAGAGCAGTTTTGTAACACACCTTTTGTAGAATCTGTTGTGGGTATTAGAACTCTTCAAAGAATTCATCGTAAATGGGTTATCTTCACATACAAACTAGACAGAAGCATTCTCAGATGCTGCTATGTGATCTGTGCGTTCAACTCACAGAATTCAATCTTCTTTTTCAGAGAGCAGTTTTGAAACTGTGTTTTGGTGTTACCTGCAAGTGGATATTTTGAGCGATTTGAGGCCTATTGTGGAAAAGGTAATATCTTCACATAGAAACTAGACAGAAGCATTCCCAGAAACTGCTCTGTGATGTGTGCATTCAACTCACAGATTTGAACCCTTCCTTTGATGGAGCACTTTTGAAACAGTCCTTTTTTTAGAATCTGCAAGTGTTCATTTGCAACGCTTTGAAGCCTATGGTGGAAAAGGTAATATATTCACGTAAAAACTAGAGAGAAGCATTCTCAGAAACTTTTTTGTGATGTATGCATTCAACTCACAGAGATGAACCTTTCTTTTGATAGAGCAGCTTTGAAACACACCTTTTGTAGACTCTCCTTGTGGATATTTTGATCTCTTTGAGGAATTTGTTGTAAATGGGACATCTTCACATATAAACTAGACAGAAGCATTCTCAGATGCTGCTATGAGACGTGTGCGTTCAACTCACAGAGTTGAACCTTCCTTTTCAGAGAGCAGTATTGAAACAGTCTTTTGGGGTTATCTGCAAGTTTATATTTGGAGCTATTTGAGGCCTATGTTGGAAAAGGATATATCTTCACATAAAAACCAGACAGAAGCATTCTCAGGAACTTCTTTGTGACGTGTGTATTCAGCTAACAGAGTTAGACCTTTCTTTTGACAGAGCAGCTTTGAAACACTCTTTTGGTAAAATCTGCAAGTGTTCATTTGGAGAGCTTTGATGCCTACGGTGGAAAAGGAAATATCTTCACATAAAAACTAGACAGAAGCATTCTCAGAAACTCCTTTGTGATGTCTGTGTTCAATTCACAGAGTGGAACCTTTCTTTTGATAGAGCAGTTTTGAAACACTTCTTTTGTAGAATCTGCCTGTGGATATATGAAACTTTTTCAGGAATTCGTTGGAAACGGGCTATCTTCAGAAAAAAACTAGGCAGAAGTATTCTCAGAAACTTCTTTGTGATGTGTGCATTCAACTCACAGAGTTGAACCTTTCTTTTGATAGAGCAGATTTGAAACACTCTTTCTGTATAATCTGCAAGTGTTCATTTCGAGCACTTTGAGGCCTATGGTGGAAAAGGAAATATCTTCACATGAAAACTAGACAGAAGCATTCTCAGAAACTTTTTTGTGGTGTGTGCATTCAATTCACAGAGTAGAACATTTCTTTTGATAGAGCAGTTTTGAAACACTGCTTTTGTAGAATCTGCTTGTGGTTATTTGGAGCTCTTTGAGGAATTCGTTTTAAACAGGATATCTATACATGCAACCTAGACAGAAGCATTCTCAGAAACTGCATTGTGATGTGTGCATTTACTTCACAGACTGGAGCTCTTCTTTTGTAACAGCAGTTTTGAAACAGTCTTTTTGTAGTATCTGCAATTGTTCATTTGGAGTGCTTTGAAGCCTATGGGGGAAAAAGAAATATCTTCACATAAAAATTACACAGAAGCATTCCCACGTTCTAATTTGAGTAGTGTGCAATCAACTAACAGAGTTGAACCTGTCTTTTGATAAAGCAGTATTGAAACACTCATTTTGTGGAATCTGCTTCTGGATATTTGGAACTCTTGGGGAATTCTTTGGAAACGGGTATCTTCATGTAAAAACTATAAAGAAGCAATCTCAGAAAGTTCTTTGTGATGTGTGCATTCAACTTACACAATTGAACATTTCTTTTGATAGAGCAGAATCGAAACTTTCTTTCTGTATAATCTGCAAGTGTTCTTTTTGAGTGCTTCGAGTCCTATGGTGGAAAAGGAAATATCTTCACATAAAAACTAGACAGAAGCATTCTCTGAAACTTTTTTGTGATGTCTGCATTCAGCTCACAGAGTTGAACCTCTCTTTTGATAGAGCAGTTTTGAAACACTCCTTTTGTAGAATCTGCTTGTGGATATTTGGAGCTCTTTGAGGAATTCGTTGTAAATGGGATATCTTCACATACAAATAAAAAGCATTCTCAGAACCTGCATTGTGATGTGCGCATTCAACTCACAGTGTTGACCCTCTCTTTTGATAGAACAGTTTTGAAACACACCTTTTGTAGAATCTGCTTGACGATATTTGGAGCTCTTTGAGGAATTCGTTGTAAACGGGATATCTTCATATGCAAACTAGAAGCATTCTCAGAAACTGCTTTGTGATGTGTGCATTCAAATCACAGATTTGAACCTTCCTTTTGAGAGAGTAGTTTTGAAACAGTGTTTTTGTAGTATCTGCAAGTGGATATTAGGAGCGAGTTCAGGCCTATGGTGGAAAAGGAAATATTGTCACGTAAAAATTGGACAGAAGGATTCTCAGAAACTGCTTTTTGATGTGTGCATTCAACTCACGGAGTTGAACCCTTCCTTTGCTGGAGCACCTTTGAAACAGTCTTTTTGTGGTATCTGCAAGTGTTCATTTGGAGCGCTTTGAAGCCTATGCTGGAAAAGTTTATATCTTCACATAAAAACTAGACAGAATCATTCTCAGAAACTTTTGGTGATGTGTGCATTTAAATCACATACTTGAACTTTTTTTTGATAAAGCAGTTTTGAAACACACCTTTTGTAGAATCTGCTTGTGGATATTTGGAGCTCTTTGAGGTATTATTTGTAAAGGGGATATCTTCACATACAAGCAAGACAGAAGCATTCTCAGAAGCTGCTTTGTGATGTGTGCGTTCAACTCAGAGCATTCAAACTTCCTTTTCGGAGAGCAGTTTTGAAACAGTTTTTTTGAGTTACCTGCAAGTGCATATTTGGAGCGGTTTAAGGCCTATGGTGGAAAGGGAAATACCTTCAGAGAAAAACTAGAGAGAAGCATTCTCAGAAACTGCTTTGTGATGTGTGCATTCAACCCCCAGAGTTGAGCCTTTCTTTTGACAGAGCCGTTTTGAAACACTCTTTTGGTAAAATCTGCAAGTGTTCATTTGGAGAACTTTGAGGTCCATGGTGGAAAAGGAAGTAACTTCACATAAAAAATAGACAGAAGCATTCTAAGAAACTCCTTTGTGATGTGAGAGTTCAATTCACAAAGTGGAAACTTTCTTTTGATAGAGCAGTTTTGAAATATTTCTTTTGCAAAATCTGCTTTTGGATATATGAAAATTTGAGGAATTCGTTGGAAACGGGCTATCTTCAGAAAAAAACTAGGCGGAAGTATTCTCAGAAAATACTTTGTGATGTGTGCATTCAACTCACAGAGTGGAACCTTTCTTTTGATAGAGCAGATTAGAAACATTGTTTCTGTGTAATCTGCAAGTATTCATTTGGTGTGCTTTGAGGCCTAAGGTGGAAAAGGAATTATCTTTATATGAAAACTAGACAGAAGAGTTCTCAGAAATGTTTGTGATGTGTACATTGAATTCACAGAGCTGAATCGTTCTTTTGAGAGAGCAGTTTTGAACCACTGCTTTTGTAGAATCTGCTTGTGGATATTTGGAGCTCTTTGAGGAATTAGTTGTAAAAGGGATATCTACACATACAAACGAGACAGAAGCATTCTCCGAAGCTGCTTTGTGATGTGTGCGTTCAACTCACAGAGTTCAACCTTCCTTTTCAGAGAACAGTTTTGAAACTGTCCTTTGATGTTACCTGCAAATGGATATTTGGAGCGATTTGAGTCCTACGGTGGAAAATTAAATATCTTCACAAAAACATAGACAGAAGCATTCTCAGAAACTGCTTTGTGGTGTGTGCATTCAACTCACAGAGTTGAATCCTTCCTTTGATGGAGCAGATTTGAAACAGTCTTTTTGTAGAATCTGCAAGTGTTCATTTGGAGTGCTTTGAAGCCTGTGGTGGAAAAGGAAATATCTTCACATAAAAACTACACAGAAGCATTCTCAGAAATTTTTTTGGGATGTGTGCATTCAACTCACATAGTCGAACCTTTCTTTTGAGAGAGCAGTTTTAAACACACCTTTTCTAGAATCTCCTTGTGGATATTTGGAGCTCTTTGAGGAATTCGTTTTAAAAGGGATATCTTCACATACAAACTAGACATAAGCATTCTCAGAAGCTGCTTTGTGATGTGTGCGTTCAACTCACAGAGTTCAACCTTCCTTTTCGGAGAGCAGTTTTGAAACACTCCTTTGGTGTTACCTGCAAGTGGATATTTGGAGCAATTTGAGGCCTATGGTGGAAAATGAAATATATACACAGAAAAACAAGACAGAATCATTCTCAGAAACTGCTTTGTGATGTGTGCATTCAACTCACAGATTTGATCCTTTCTTTTGATAGAGCAGTTTGGAAACAGTCTTTTTGTAGAATCTGCAAGTGGATATTTGGAGCGATTTGAAGCCTTTGTTGGAAAAGGATATATCTTCACATAAAAACTAGACAGAAGCATTCTCAGGAACTTCATTGTGATGTGTGCATATAGCTAACAGAGTTGAACCTTTCTTTTGACAGAGCAGTTTTGAAACACTCTTTTGTTAAAATCTGCCAGTGTTCATTTGGAGAGCTTTGATGTCTATGGTGGAAAAGGAAATATCTTCACATAAAAAATGGACAGAAGCATGCTCAGAAATTCCTTTGTGATGTCTGCGTTCAATTCATAGAGTGGAACCTTTCTTTTAATAGAGCAGTTTTAAAACAATTCTTTGGAGAATCTGCTTGTGGATATATGAAACTTTTCCAGGAATTCGTTGGAAACGGGCTATCTTCAGAAAAAAACTAGGCAGAAGTATTCTCAGAAACTTCTTTGTGATGAGTGCATTCAACTCACAGAGTTGAACCTTCTTTTGATAGAGTATATATGAAACATTATTTCTGTATAATCTGCATGTGTTCATTTGGAACGTTTTGAGGCATATGGTGGAAAAGGAAATATCTTCACATGAAAACTAGACAGAAGCATTCTCAGAAACTTTTTCGTGATGTGTGTACTCAATTCACAGAGTTGAACCTTTCTTTTGATAGAGCAGTTTTGAAACACTGCTTTTGTAGAATCTGCTTGTGGGTATTTGGAGCTCTTTGAAGAATTCGTTGTAAACGTGATATCTACACATACAAAGTAGATAGAAGCATTCTTAGAAACTTCTTTGAGATGTGTGCAATCACCTCACAGAGTGGAACCCTTCTTTTGTTAGAGCAGTGTTGAAACAGTCTTTTTGTAGTATCTGCAAGTGTTCATTTGGAGTGCTTTGAAGCCTATGGTGGAAAAGGAAATACCTTCACATAAAAACTAGACAGAATCATTCCCAGGATCTTCTCTGAGATCTGTGCATTCATATAGCAGAGTTGAACCTGTCTTTTGATAGAGCAGTATTGAAACACTCCTTTTGTGGAATCTGCTTGTGGATACTTGGAACTCTTGGGGAAGTCATTGGAAACTGGTATCCTCATATACAAACTACACAGAAGCATTCTCAGAAAGTACTTTGTGATGTATACATTCAACTCACAGAGTTGAACCTTTCTTTTGATAGAGGAGATTTGAGACTTTCTTTCTGTATAATCCACAAGTGTTCTTTTTGAACGCTTTGAGGACTATTGTGGAAAAGGAAATATCTTCACATGAAAACTTGACAGAAGCATTCTCAGAAACTTTTATGTGATGTGTGCATTCAATTCACAGAATTGAACCTTTCTTTTGATGGAGCAGTTTTGAAACACTGCTTTTGTAGAATCTGCTTGTGGATATTTGGAGCTCTTTGAGGAATTCGTTGTAGACAGGATATCTTCACATACAAACTAGACAGAAACATTCTCAAAAACTGCTTTGTGATGTGTGCTTTCAACTCTCATAGTTCAACCTTCCTTTTCAGGGAGCAGTTTTGAAACAGTCTTTTTGTAAAATCTGCAAGTGGATATTTGCAGGGATTTGAGGCCTATGGTGGAAAAGGAAATGTCTTCACATAAAAACTAGACAGAAGCATTCTCAGAAGCTTCTTTGTGATGTTTGTGTTCAACTCACAGGGTTCAACCTTCCTTTTCAGAGAGCAGTTTTGAAACAAGTTTTTGGTGTTACCTGCATGTGGATATTTGGAGAGATTTGAGGCCTCTGGTGGAAAAGGAAATATCTTCACATAAAAACAAGACAGAAACATTATCAGAAACTCCTTTGTGGTGTGTGCATTCACCTCACAGAGTGGAACCTTCCTTTTGAGAGAGCAGTTTTAAAATGGTGTTTTTGTGGTATCTTCATGTGGATATTTGGAGCGATTTGAGCCCTTTGGTGGAAAATGAAATATCTTCACATAAAAAATAGACAGAAACATTCTTAGAAACTGCTTTGTGATGTGTGCCTTCACCTCACAGAGTTGAACCCTTCCTTTGATGGAGCACTTTTGAAACAGTCTTTTGTAGAATCTGCAAGTTTTCATTTGGAGCGCTGTGAAGCCTGTGGTGGAAAAGGTAACGTCTTCACATAAAAACTAGACAGAAGCATTCTCAGAAACTATTTTGGGATGTGTGCATTCAACGCACAGAGTTGAACCTTTCTTTTGATAGAGCAGTTTTGAAACACACCTTTTGTAGAATCTCCTTGTGGAAATTTGGAGCTCTTTGAGGAATTCGTTGTAAACAGGATATCATCACATGCAAACTAGAAAGACTCGTTCTCATAAGCTGCTATGTGATGTGTGCATTCAACTCACAGAGTTCATCCTTTCTTTTCAGAGAGCAGTTTTGAAATAGTATTTGGTGTTGCCTGCAAGTGGATATTTGGAGCGATTTGAGGCCTATTGTGGAAAAGAAAATATCTTCACATGAGAATTAGACAGAAGCATTCTCAGAAATTTTTGTGAAGTATACATTCAGTTCACACCGTTGAACCTTTCTTTTGATGGAGCAGTTTTGAAACACTGCTTTTGAAGGATCTGCTTGTGGATATTTGGAACTCTTTGAAGAATTCGTTGTAAACGGGATATCTTCACATACAAACTAGACAGAAGCATTCTCAGAAGCTGCTTTGTGATGCGTACTTTCAACTCACATAGTTCAACCTTCCTTTTCAGAGAGCAGTTTTGAAACAGTCTTTTGGTGTTACCTACAAGTTGATATTTGGAGCGGTTTGAGGCCTCTGTTGGAAAAGGATGTATCTTCACATAAAAACTAGACAGAAGCATTCTTAGGAACTTGTTGTGATGTGTGCATTCAGCTAACACAGTTGAACCTTTCTTTGGACAGAGCAGTTTTGAAACACTCTTTTGATAAAATCTGCAAGTGTTCATTTGGAGAGCTTTGATGCCTATGGTTGAAAAGGAAACATGTTCACATAAAAACTAGACAGAAGCATTCTCAGAAACTCATTTGTGATATCTGTGTTCAATTCACGAGTGGAACCTTTCTTTTGATAGAGCAGTTTTGGAACACTTCTTTTGTAGAATCTGCTTATGGATATATGAAACTTTTTGAGGAATTCAGTGGAAACGGACTATCTTCAGAAAAAACTAGGCAGAAGTATTCTCAGAAAGTTCTATGTGATGTGTGCATTCAACTCACAGGGTTGAACCTTTCTTTTGATAGAGCATATTTGAAACATTCTTTCTGTATTATCTGCAAGTGTTCATTTGGAGCACCTTGAGGCCTATGATGGAAAACGAAATATCTTCACATGAAAACTAGACAGAAGCATTCTCAGAAACATTTTTGTGATGAGTGCATCCAATTCAGTCAGTTGAACGTTTCTTTTGATAGAGCAGTTTTGAAACACTGCTTTTGTAGAATCTGCTTGTGGATATTTGGAGTTCCTTGAGGAATTCGTCGTAAACGGGATATCTACACATACAAACTAGACAGAGGCATTCTCGGAAACTGCTTTTTGATGTGTGCATTCACCTCATAGAGTGGAACCCTTCTTTCATTAGAGCAGTGTTGAAACAGTCTTTTTGTAGTATCTGCAAGTGTTCATTTGGAGCGCTTTGAAGCCTATGTTGGAAAAAGTAATATCTTCACATAAAAACTAGACAGAAGTATTCTCAGAAAGTTCTATGTGATGTGTGCGTTCAACTCACAGAGTTGAACCTTTCTTTTGATAGAGCAGATTTGAAGCATTCTTTCTGTATAATCTGCAAGTGTTCATTTGGAGTGCTTTGAAGCCTATGGTGGAAAAGGTAATATCTTCACATAAAAACTAGACAGAAGCAATCTCAGAAACTTTTGTGTGATGTGTGCATTAAACTCACATAGTTTAACCTTTCTTTTGATACAGCAGCTTTGAAACACACCTTTTGTAGACTATGCTTGTGGACAATAAGGGCTCTTTGAGGAATTCGTTGTAAACAGTATATCTTCACATAGAAACTATACAGAAGCATTCTCAGAAGCTGCTTTGTGATGTGTGCACTTAATTCACAGAATTCAACCTTCCTTTTCAGAGAGGACTTTTGAAATATTTCTTTTGGTATTACCTGCAAGTGGATATTTGGGGCGATTTGAGGCCTATGGTGGAAAAGGAAATATCTTTACATAAAAACTAGACAAAACTATTCTGAGAAACTGCTTTGTGATGCGTGCATTCAATTCACAGAGTTGAGTCTTTCTTTTGATAGAGCAGTTTTGAAACAGTCTTTTTGTAGAATCTGCAGGTGGATATTTGTAGCGATTTGAGGCCTCTTTTGAAAAATGATATATCTTCACATAAAAACTAGACAGAAGCATTCTGAGGAACTTCCTTGTGATGTGTATATTCAGCTAAAAGAGTTGAACCTCTCTTCTGATGGAGCAGGTTTGAAACATTCTTTCTGTAAAATCTGCAAGTGTTCATTTGGAGCGCTTTGAGGCCTCTGGTGGAAAAGGAAATATCTTCACATGAAAACTACATGGAAGCATTCTCAGGAACTTTTTTGTGATATGTGCATTCAATTCTCAGAGTTGAACCTTTCTTTTGATGGAGCAGTTTTGAAATACTGCTTTTGTAGAATCTGCTTGTGGATATTTGGAGCTCTTTGGCGAATTCGTTGTAAACGGGATATCTTCACAAACAAACTAGACAGAATTATTCTTAGAAGCTGCTTTGTGATGTGTGTGTTCAACTCACAGAGTTCAACCTTCCTTTTCAGAGAGCAGTTTTGAAACAGTCTTTTGGTGTCACTTGCAAATGGATATTTGGAGCGATTTGAGGCCTATGGTGGAAAAAGAAATAACTTCTCATAAAAACTAGACAGAAGCATTCTCAGAAACTGCTTTGTGATGTGTGCATTCAACTCACAGAGTTGATCCTTTCTTTTGATAGAGCAGTTTGGAAACAGTTTTTTTGTAGAATCTGCAGGTGGATATTTGGAGCGATTTGAGGCCTCTGTTGGAAAAGGTAATATCTTCACATAAAAACTAGACAGAAGTATTCTCAGGAACTTCTTTGTGATGTGTGCATTCAGCTAACGGATTTGAATCTTTCTTTTGACAGAACAGTTTTGAAACACTCTTTTGGTCATATCTGCAAGTGTTCATTTGGAGAGCTTTGATGCCTACGGTGGAAAAGGAAATATCTTCACATAAAAACAAGACAGAAGCATGCTCAGAAACTCCTTTGTGATGTCTGTTTTCAATTCACGGAGTGGAACCTTTCTTTTGATAGAGCAGTTTTGAAACACTTCTTTTGTAGCATCTGCTTGTGGATATATGAAACTTTTTCAGGAATTCGTTGGAAATGGGCTATCTTCAGAAAAAACTAGGCAGAAGTATTCTCAGAAAGTTCTGATGATGAGTGCATTCAACTCACAGAGTTGAACCTTTCTTTTGATAGAGCAGTTTTGAAACACTGCTTTTGCAGAATCTGCTTGTGGATATTTGGAGCTCTCTGAGGAATTCGTTGTAAAAGGGATATATACACATACAAACTAGAGAGAAGCATTCTCAGAAAGTGCTTTGCGATGTGTGCATTCACCTCATAGAGTGGAACCCTTCCTTTATTAGGGCAGTGTTGAAACAGTCTTTTTGTAGTATCTGCAAGTGTTCATTTGGAGTGCTTTTAAGCCTATGGTGGAAAAGGAAATATTTTCACATAAAAATTAGACAAACATTCCCAGGATCTTCTTTGAGATGTGTGAGCTCTTTGAGGAATTCGCTGTAAATGGGATATCTACACATACAAATTAGACAGAAGCATTTTCAGAAGCTACTTTGTGATGTGTGCGTTCAACTCACAGAGTTCAACCTTCCTTTTCAGAGAACAGTTTTGAAACTGTCTTTTGATGTTACCTGCAAGTGCATATTTGGAGCGATTTGCGGCCTATGGTGTAAAAGGAAATATCTTCACAAAAAACTAGACAGAAGCATTCTCAGAAACTGCGTTGTGATGTGTGCCTTCAACTCACAGAGCTGAACCCTTCCTTTGATGGAGTAGATTTCAAACAGTCTTTTCGTAGAATCTGCAAGAGTTCATTTGGAGCGCTTTGAAGCCTGTGGTGGAAAAGGAAATATGTTCACATAAAAACTACACAGAAGCATTCTCAGAAACTTTTTTGTGATGTGTGCATTCAACTCACATAGTTGAACCTTTCTTTTGAGAGAGCAGTTTTAAACACATCTTTTCTAGAATCTGCTTGTGGGTATCTGGAGCTCTTTGAGGAATTCGTTTTAAAAGGGATATCTTCACATACAAACTAGACATAAGCATTCTCAGAAGCTGCTTTGTGATGTGTGTGTTCAACTCAAAGAGTTCAACCTTTCTTTTCAGAGAGCAGTTTTGAAAAAGTCTTCTGGTTTTACCTGCAAGTGGATATTTGGAGCAATTTGAGGCCTATGGTGGAAAAGGAAATAACTTCACATAAAAACTAGACAGAAGCATTCTCAGAAACTGCTTTGTGATGTGTGCATTCAACTCACAGAGTTGATCCTTTCTTTTGATAGAGGAGCTTCAAACAGTCATTTTGTAGAATCTGCAAGTGGATATTTGGAGCGATCTGAAGCCTTTGTTGGAAAAGGATATATCTTCACATAAAACTAGACAGAAGCATTCTCAGGAACTTCTTTGTGATATGTGCATTCAGCTAACAGAGTTGAACCTTTCTTTTGACAGAGCAGTTTTGAAACACTCTTTTGGTAAAATCTGCAAGTGTTCATTTGGAGAGTTTTGATGCCTACGGTGGAAAAGGAAATATCTTCACATAAAAACAAGACAGAAGCATTCTCAGAAACCCCTTTGTGATATCTGTGTTGACTTCACAGAGTGGAACCCTTCATTTGATAGAGCAGTTTTGAAACACTTCTTTTGTAGAATCTGCTTGTGGATATATGAAACTTTTTCAGGAATTCATTGGAAACGGGCTATCTTCAGAAAAAACCTAGGCAGAAGTATTCTCAGAAACTTCTTTGTGGTGTGTGCATTAAACTCACAGAGTTGAACCTTTCTTTTGGTAGAGCAGATTTGAAACATTCTGTATAATCTGCAAGTGTTCATTAGGAGCGCTTTGAGGCATATGGTGGAGAAGGAATTATCTTCACATGAAAACTAGACAGAAGCATTCTCAGAAACTTTTTTGTGATGTGTGCACTCAATTCACAGATTTGAATCTTTCTTTTGATAGAGCAGTTTTGAAGCACCGCTTTTAAAGAATCTGCTTGTGGGTATTTGGAGGTCTTTGAGGAATTCGTTGTAAACGTGATATCTACACATACAAAGTAGACAGAAGAATTCTCAGAAACTGCTTTGAGATGTGTGCATTCACCTCACAGAGTGGAACACTTCTTTTGTTAGAGCAGTGATGAAACAGTCTTTTTGTAGTATCTGCAAGTGTTCATTTGGAGTGCTTTGAAGCCTATGGTGGAAAAGGAAATATCTTCACATAAAAACTAGACAGAAGCATTCCCAGGATCTTCTTTGAGATCTGTGCATTCAAATAGAAGAGTTGAACTTGTCTTTCTATAGAGCAGTATTGAAACACTCCTTTTGTTTAATCAGCTTGTGGATATTTGGAACTTAGGGGAAATCGTTGGAAACGGGTATCTTCATATAAAAACTAGACAGAAGCATTCTCAGAAAGTTCTTTGTGATGTATGCTTTCAACTCACAGAGTTGAACCTTTCTTTTGGTAGAGCAGATGTGAAACTTCCTTTCTGTATAATCTGCAAGTATTCATTTTGATCGCTATGAGGCCTATTGTTGAAAAGGGAATATCTTCACATGAAAACTAAACAGAAACATTCTCAGAAACTTTTCTGTGATGTGTGCATTCAATTCATGGAGTTGAACCTTTCTTTTGATGGAACAGTGTTGAAACACTGCTTTTGTAGAATCTGCTTGTGGATATTTGGAGCTCTTTGAGGAATTCATTGTAAAAGGGATATCTTCACATACAAACTAGACAGAAGCATTCTCAGAAGCTGCTTTGTGATGTGTGCGTTCAACTCACATAGTTCAACCTTCCTTTTCAGAGAGCAGTTTTGAAACACTCTTTTGGTGTTACCTGCAAGTGGATATTTGGAGCAATTTGAGGCCTATGGTGGAAAAGGAAGTAACTTCACATAAATATTAGAGAGAAGCATTCTAAGAAACTCCTTTGTGATGTGTGAGTTCAATTCACAGAGTGGAACCTTTCTTTTGATAGAGCAGTTTTGAAATACTTCTTTTGTAAAATCTGGTTTTTTGTATATGAAACTTTTTGAGGAATCCGTTGGAAACGGGCTGTCTTCAGAAAAATACTAGGCCGAAGTATTCTGAGAAAATACTTTGTGATGTGAGCATTCAACTCACAGAATTGAACCTTTCTCTTGGTAGAGCAGATTAGAAACATTCTTTCTGTGTAATCTGCAAGTGGTCATTTGGTGCGCTTTGAGGGCTATGGTGGAAAAGGAATTATCTTCATATGAAAACTAGACAGAAGCATTCTCAGAAACTTTTTGTGATGTGTGCATTGAATTCGCAGAGTTGAACCGTTCTTTTGATAGAGAAGTTTTGAACCACTGCTTTTGTAGAATCTGCTTGTGGATATTTGGAGCTCTTTGAGGAATTCGTTGTAAAAGAGATATCTACACATACAAACTAGACAGAAGCATTCTCCAAAGCTGCTTTGTGATGTGTGCGTTCAACTCACAGAGTTCAACCTTCCTCTTCAGAAAGCAATTTTGAAACTCTATTTTGATGTTTCCTGCAAGTGGATATTTGGAGCGATTTGAGGCCTATGGTGGAAAAGGAAATACCTTCACATGAAAACTAGACAGAAGCATTCTCAGAAACTGCTTTGTGATGTGTGCATTCAACTCACAGAGTTGAATCCTTCCTTTGATGGAGCAGATTTGAAACAGTCTTTTTGTCGAATCTGCATGTGTTCATTTGGAGCACTTTGAAGCCTGTGATGGAAAAGGAAATATGTTCACATAAAAACTAGACAGAAGCATTCTCAGAATCATTTTCGTGATGTTTGCATTCAAGTCACATAGTTGAGCCTTTCTTTTGATAGAGCAGTTTTGAAACACACCTTTTGTAGAATCTGCTTCTGTATATTTGGAGCTCTTTGAGGAATTCGTTTTAAACGGGATATCTTCACATACAAACTAGACAGACAGAAGCATTCTCCGAAGCTGCTTTGTGATGTGTGCGTTCAACTCACAGAGTTCAACTTTCCTTTCCAGAGAGTAGTTTTGAAACAGTCTTTTGGTGTTACCTGCAAGTGGATATTTGGAGCAATTTGAGGCCTATGGTGGAAAATGAAATATCTTCACATAAAAACCAGACAGAAGCATTCAGAGAAACTGCTTGATGATGTGTGCATTCAGCTCACAGAGTTGAGCTTTTCTTTTGATAGAGCAGTTCTGAAACACTCTTTTGGTAAAATCTGCAAGTGTTCATTTGGAGAACTTTGAGGACTATAGTGCAAAAGGAAATATCTTCTCATAAAAACTAGACAGAAGCATTATCAGAAACTCCTTTGTGGTGTGTGTGTTCAATTCACAGAGTGGAACGTTTCTTTTGATAGAGCAGTTTTGAAACACTTCTTTTGTAGAATCTGCTTGTGTGTATATGAAACTTTTTGAGGAATTCGTAGGAAACGGGATATCTTCAGAAAAAAACTAGGCAGATGTATTCTCAAAAAGTTCTTCTGATCTGTGCATTCAACTCACAGAGTTGTGCCTTTCTTTTGATAGAGCAGTTTTGAAACAGTCTTTTTGTAGAATCTGCAAGTGTTCATTTGGTGCGCTTTGAAGCCTGTGGTGAAAAAGGTAATATCTTCACTTAAAAACTAGACAGAAGCATTCTCAGAAACTTTTTTGTGATGTGTGCATTCTGCTCACAGAGTTGAACCTCTCTTTTGATAGATCAGTTTTGAAACACTCCTTTTGTAGAATGTGCTTGTGGATATTTGGAGCTCTTTGAGGAATTCGTTTTAAACAGGATATCTTCACATACAAACTAGAAGCATTCTCAGAAACTTCTTTGTGATGTGTGCATTCAACTCACAGAGTTGAACCTTCCTTTTGAGAGAGCAGATTTGAAACAGTCTTTTTGTAATATCTGCAAGTGTATATTTGGAGGATTTGAGGCCTGTTGTGGAAAAGGAAATATCTTCACATAAAAACTAGACAGAAGCATTCTCAGAAGCTGCTTTGTTATGTGTGCATTCAACTCACAGAGTCGAACCCTTCTTTGATGGAGCACTATTGAAACAGTGTTTTTGTAGACTCTGCAAGTGTTCACTTGGAGCTCTTTGAATCCTATGGTGGAAATGGTAATATCTTCACATAAAAGCTAGACAGAAGCATTCTCAGAAACATTTTGTGATGTGTGCATTCAACTCACAGAGATGAGCCTTCTTTTTAAGAGAGAGAGCAGTTTTGAAACATTGTTTTTGTAGTATCTGCAAGTGGATATTTGGCGCGATTTGAGACCTATGATGGAAAAGGAAATATCTTCCCATAAAAACTAGACAGAAGCATTCTCAGAAACTGCTTTGTAATGTGTGCATTCAACTCACAGAGTTAAACCCTTCCTTTGACGTAGCAGTTTTGAAACAGTCTTTTTGTAGAATCTGCAAGTGTTCATTTGAAGCGCTTTGAAGCCTATGGTGGAAAAGGTAATATCTTCACATAAAAACTAGACAGAAGCATTCTCAGAAACTTTTCTGTGATGTGTGCATTCAACTCACAGAGTTGTACTTTTCTTTTGATAGAACAGTTTTGAAACACACATTTGTAGAGTCTGCTGTGGGTATTTGGAACTCTTGAGGAATTCGTTGTAAACGGGGTATCTTCACATAAAAACTAGACAGAAGCATTCTCAGAATCTGCTATATGATGAGTGCGTTCAACTCAAAGAGTTGAACCTTCCTTTTCAGAGAGCAGTTTTGAAACAGTCTTTTGGTGTTACCTGCAAATGGATATTTGGAACGATGTCAGGCCTATGGTGGAAAAGGAAATAACTTCACATAAAAACAAGACAGAAGCATTCTCTGAAACTGCTTTGTAATGTGTGCATTCAACTCACAGAGTTGATCCTTTCTTTTTATAGAGCAGTTTGGAAACAGTCTTTTTGTAGAATCTGCAAGTGGATATTTGGAGCGATTTGAGGCCTCTTTTGAAAAAGAATATATCTTAACATAAAAACTAGACAGAAGCATACTTAGGAACTTCTTTGTGATGTGTGCATTCAGCTAACGGATTTGAATCTTTGTTTTGACAGAGCTGTTTTGAAACACTCTTTTGGTCAAATCTGCAAGTATTCATTTGGATAGCTTTGAGGCCTGTGGTGGAAAAGGGAATATCTTCACATAAAAACTAGACAGAAGCATACTCAGAAACTCCTTTGTGATGTCTGTGTGCAATTCACATAGTGGAACCATTCTTTGATAGAGCATTTTTTAAACACTTCTTTTGTAGAATCTGCTTGTGCATATATGAAACTTTCTGAGGAATTCGTTGGAAACGGGCTATGCTCAGAAAAAAAACTAGGCAGAAGTATTCTCAGAAAGTCCTTTGTGATGTGTGAATTCAACTCACAGAATTGAACCTTTCTTTTGATAGAGCAGATTTGAGACATTCTTTTTGTATTATCTGCAAGTGAGCGTTTTTAGCGCTTTGAGGTCTATGGTGGAAAAGGAAATATCTTCACATGAAAACTAGACAGAAGCATTCTCAGAAACATTTTTGTGATATGTGCATTCAATTCACAGAGTTGAACCTTTCTTTTCATAGAGCAGTTTTGAAACACTGCTTTTGTAGAATCTGCTTGCGGATAATTGAAACTCTTAGAGGAATTCGTTGTAAACGGGATATCTACACATATAAACTAGACAGAAGCATTCTCAGAAACTACCTTGTGATGTGTGCATTCACCTCAGAGAGTGGAACCCCTCTTTTGTCAGAGCAGTGTTGAAACGGTTTTTTTGTAGTATCTCCAAGTGTTCATTTGGAGCTCTTTGAAGCCTATGGTGGAAAAGGAAATATCTTCACATAAAAACTAGACAGAAGCATTCCCAGGATCTGCTTTGAGATGTGTGCATTCAACTCACAGAGTTGAACCTGTCTTTTGATAGAGCAGTATTGAAGCACTCCTTTTGTGGAATCTGCTTGTGGATATTTGGAACTCTTGGGGAATTCGTTGGAAACAGGTATCTTCATATACAACATAGACAGAAGCGTTCTCAGAAAGTTCTTTGTGATGTGTGCATTCAACTCACAGAGCTGAACATTTCTTTTGATAGAGCAGATTTGAAACTTTCTTGCTGTATCATCTGCAAGTGTGCATTTGCAGCACTTTGAAGCCTATGGTGGAAAAGGGTATATCTTCACATAAAAACTAGACAGAAGCACTCTCAGAAACTTTTTTGTGATGTTTTCATTCAACTAACAGAGTTGAACCTGTCTTTTGATAGAGCAGTTTTGAAACACTCCTTTTCTAGTATCTGCTTCTGGATATTTGGAGCTCTTTGAGAAATTCATTGTAAATGGGATATCTTCAAATACAACCTGGACAGAAGCATTCTCAGAAGCTGCTTTGTGATGGGTGCATTGAAATCACAGAGTTCAACCTCCCTTTTCAGAGAGCAGTTTTGAAACAGTCATTTGGTGTTAACTGCAAATGGATATTTGGAGCGATTTGAGGCCTATGGTGGAAAAGGAAATATCCTCACTTAAAAACTAGACAGTAGCTTTCTCAGAAACTGCTTTGTGATGTGTGCATTCAACTCACAGACTTGAACATTTCTTTTGATAGAGCAGTTTGGAAACACTCTTTTTATAGAATCTGCAAGTGGATATTTGGAGTGCTTTGAGGCCTACTGTGTAAAAAGTAATATCTTCAAATAAAAACTAGACAGGAGTATACTCAGAAACATCCTTGTGATGTGTGCATTCAGCTAACAGAGTTGAACCTTTCTTTTGACAGAGCAGTTTTGAAACATTCTTTTGGTAACATCTGCAAGTGTTCATTTTGAGAGCTTTGAGGCCTATGATGGAAAACAAAATATCTTCACATAAAACCTAGACAGAAGCATTTTCAGAAACACCTTTGTGACGTCTGTGTTCAATTCACATAGTGGAACTTTTGTTTTGATAGAGCAGTTTTGAAACAGTCTTTTTCTAGAATCTGCAAGTGGATATTTTTAGTGATTTGAGGCCTCTGTTGGAAAACGATATATCTATCTTCACATAAAAACTAGACAGAAGCATTCTCAGGAACTTCTCTGTGATGTGTGCATTCATCTAACAGAGTTGAGCCTTTCTTTGGACACAGCGATTTTGAGAAACTCTTTTGGTAATTCTGCAAGGGTTCATTTGGAGAGCTTTGAGGCCTATGGTGAAAAGGAAATATCTTCACGTAAAAACTAGACAGAAGCCTATGGTGAAAAGGAAATATCTTCACGTAAAAACTAGACAGAAGCATTCTCAGAAACTCCTTTGTGATGTGTGTGTTCAATTCACAGAGTGGAACCTTTCTTTTGATAGAATAGTTTTGGAAAACTTCTTTTGTAGAATCTGCTTGTGGATATATGAAACTTTTTGAGGAATTCTTTGGAAAAGGGCTCTATTCAAAAAAAACTAGGCAGAAGTATTCTCAGAAAGTTCTTTGTGATGTGTGCATTCAACTCACAGAGTTGAAACTTTTTTTTTGATAGTGCAGTTTTGAAAAACTCTTTTGGTAAAATCTGCAATTGTTCACTTGGAGAGCTTTGAGGCCAATGGTGGATAAGGAAATATCTTCACATTAAAAATACACAGAAGCATTCTCAGAAACATTTTGTGATGTGTGCATTCAATTCACAGAGTTGAACTTTTCTTTTGATAAAGCAGTTTTGAAACACTGCTTTTGTAGAATCTGCTTGTGGATATTTGGAGCTCTTTGAGGAATTCGTTGTAAATGGAATATCTACACATACAAACTAGACAGAAGCATTCTCAGAAACTGCTTTGTGATGTGTGCATTCACCCCCCAGAGTGGAACCCTTCTTTTATTAGAGCAGTTTTGAAACAGTCTTTTGTAGTATATGCAAGTGTTCATTTGGAGCGCTTTGAAGCCTATGGTGGAAAAGGAAATATCTTCACATAAATACTAGACAGATGCATTCCCAGGATCTTTTTTGAGATGTGTGCATTCAACTAACAGAGTTGAACCTGTCTTTTCATAGAGAAGTATTGAAACGTTCCTTTTGTTGAATCTGCTAGTGGATATTTGGAACTCTTGGGGAATTCGTTGGAAACGGGTATCTTCATATAAAAACTAGACAGAAGCATTCTCAGAAAGTTCTTTGTGATGTGTGCATTTAACTCACAGAGTTGAACCTTTCTTTTCATAGAGCAGATTTGAATCTTTCTTTCTGTATAATCTGCAAGTGTTCATTTTGAGCGATTTGAGACCTAAGGTGGAAAAGGAAATATCTTCACATAAAAACTAGACTGAAGCACTCTCAGAAACTTTTTTGTGATGTGAGCATTCAGCTCACAGAGTTGAACCTCTCTTTTGATAGAGCATTTTTGAAACACTCCTTTTGTAGAATATGCTTGTGAATATTTGGAGCTCTTTGAGGAATTCGTTGTAAACGGGATATCTTCACATACAAACTGGAAGCATTCTCAGAAACTGCTTTCTGATATGTGCATTCATCTCACAGAGTTGAACCCTTCCTTTGATGGAGCGGTTTTGAAACAGTCTTTTTGTAGAATCTGCAAATGTTCATTTGGAGCGTTTGGAAGCCTATGGTGGAAAAGGAAATATCTTCACATAAAAACTAGACAGGAGCATTCTCAGAAAGTATTTTGTGATGTGTGCTTTCAACTCACAGAGTTGAACCTCTCTATTGATAGAGCAATTTTGACACACTGCTTTGTAGAATCTGCTTGTGGAAATTTGGAACTCTTTGAGGAATTCTTTGTAAACGGGATATCTACACATACAAACTAGACAGAAGCATTCTCAGAAACTGCTTTGTGATGTGTGCATTCAACTCACAGAGATGAAGCTTTCTTTTGATAGAGCAGATTTGAAACACTCCTTTTGTAGAATCTGCTTGTAGATATTTGGAGCTCTTTGAGGAATTCATTTTAAAAGGGATATCTTCACATACAAACTAGAAGCATTCATAGAAACTGCTTTGTGATGTGTGCATTCACCTCACAGAGTGGAACCCTTCTTTTGTTAGAGCAGTTTTGATACAGTCTTTTTGTAGTATCTGAAAGTGTTCATTTGGAACGCGTTGAAGCCTGTGATGGAAAAGGAAATATCTTCACATAAAAACTAGACAGAAGCATTTTCAGGATCTTCTTTGATATATGTGCATTCAACTAAAACAGAGTTGAACCTGTCTTTTGATAGAGCAGTATTGAAACACTCCTTCTGTGAAATCTGCTTGTGGATATTTGGAACACTTGGTGAATTCGTTGGTAACGGGTATCTTCATTTAAAAACTAGAGAGAAGTATTCGCAGAAAGTTCTTTGTGATGTGTGCATTCAACTCACAGAGTTGAAACTTTCTTTTGATAGTGCAGATTGGAAACTTTCTTTCTGTATGATCTGCAAGTGTTCGTTTTGATCGCTTTGAGGCCTATTGTGGAAAAATAACAATCTTCACATAAAAACTAGACAGAAGCATTCTCAGGAACTTCTTTGTGATGTGTGCATTCAGCTAACAGAGTTGAACCTTTCTTTTCACAGAGCAGTTTTGAAACACTGTTTTGGTAAAATATGCAAGTGTTCATTTGGAGAGCTTTGAGGCCTTTGTTCTAAATGGAAATATTTTCACATCAAAACAAGACAGAGGCATTCTCAGAAACTCCTTTGTGATGTGTGTGTTCAATTCACAGAGTGGAACTTTTCTTTTGATAAAGCAGTTTTGAAACACTTCTTTTGTAGAATCTGCTTGTGAATATATGAAACTTTTTGAGGAATTCGTTGGAATCGGGCAATCTACACATAAAAACTAGACAGAAGCATTCTCAGAAACTGCTTTGCGATGTGTGTATTCACCTCACAGAGTGGAACCCTACTTTTGTTAGAGCAGTTTTGAAACAGTCTTTTTGTAGTATCTGCAAATGTTCATTTGTAGTGCTTTGAAGCCTACGGTGGAAAAGGAAATGTCGTCACATAAAAACTAGCCAAAAGCATACCCAGGATCTTTTTTCAGATGTGTGCATTCAACTAACAGAGTTGAACCTGTCTTTTGATAGAGCAGTATTGAAACACTCCTTTTGTAGAATCTGCTTGTGGATATTTTGAACTCTTGGGGAATTCGTTGGAAACGGGTATCTTCATAAAAAAACTAGACAGAAGCTTTCTCAGAAAATTTTTTTGTGATCTGTGCATTCAACTCACAGATTTGAGCGTCTATTTTTATAGAGCAGTTTTGAAACACTCCCTTTTGTAGAATCCTCTTGTGGATATTTGGAGCTCTTTGAGGAATTCGTTAAAAAACGGGATATCTTCACATACAAACTAAACTAGAAGCATTCTCAGAAACTGCTCTGTGAAGTGTGCATTCAACAGAGTTGAACCTTCCTTTTGATAGAGCAGTTTTGAAACAGACCTTTTGTAGAATCTGCTTGTGGATATTTGGAGCTCTGTGAGGAATTCGTTGTAAACTGGATATCTTCACATACAACTAGACAGAGGCATTCTCAGAATCTGCTATGTGATGAGTGCGATCAACTCACAGAGTTGAACATTTCTTTTCAGAGAGCAGTTTTGGAACAGTCTTTTGGTGTTAACTGCAAGTGGATATTTGGAGCGACTTGAGGCCTATGTTGGAAAAGGATATATCTTCACATAAAAACTAGACAGAAGCATTCTCAGGAACTTTTTTGTTATGTGTGCATTCAGTTAACCGAGTTGAACCTTTCTTTTCACAGAGCAGTTTTGAAACACTCTTTTGGAAAAATCTGCAAGTATTCATTTGGAGAGCTTTGAGGCCTATGTTGGAAAAGGAAATATCTTCACATCAAAATTAGACAGAAGCATTCTCAGAAACTCCTTTGTGTTGTGTGTGTTCAATTCACAGAGTGAACTCTTTCTTTTGATAGAGCAGTTTTGAAACAATTCTTTTGTAGTATCTGCTTGTGGATATTTGAAACTTTTTGAGGAATTCGTTGGAATTGGGCAATCTACACATACAAACTAGACAGAAGCATTCTCAGAAACTGCTTTGTGATATGTGCATTCACCTCACAGAGTGGAACTCTTCTTTTGTTAGAGAAGTTTCGAAACAGTCTTTGTGAAGTATCTGCAAGTGTTCACTTGCAGCGCTTTGAAGCCTGCCTGTTAAAAGGAAATATCTTCACATAAAAACTAGCCAAAAGCATTCCCAGGATCTTTTTTCAGATGTGTGCATTCAACTAACAGAGTTGAACCGGTCTTGTGATAGAGCAGTATTGAAACACTCCTTTTATAGAATCTGCTTGTGGATATTTGGAACTCTTTGGGAATTCGTTGGAAACGGGTATCTTCTTATAAAAACTAGACAGAAGCATTCTCAGAAAGTTCTTTGTGATCTGTGCATTCAACTCACAGAGTTGAACTGTACTTTTGATAGAGCAGATTTGAAACGTTATTTTGGTATAATCTGCAAGACTTCATTTTGAGCGCTTTGAGGCCTACGGTGGCAAAGGAAATATCTTCAAATAAAAACTAGACAGAAGAATTCTCAGAAAATTTTTTGTGATGTGTGCATTCAACGCACAGAGTTGAGTCTCTCTTTTGATAGAGCAGTTTTGAAACACTCCCTTTTGTAGAATCTGCTTGTAGATATTTGGAGCTCTTCGAGGAATTCGTTAAAAAACGAGATATCTTCACATACAAACTAGAAGCATTCTCAGAAACAGCTTAGTGAAGTGCACATTCACCTCACAGAGTTGATCCTTCCTTTTGATAGAGCAGTTTTGAAACAGTTTTTTTGTTGTGTCTGCAAGTGGATATTTGGAGCGATTTGAGGCCTATGGTGGAAAAGGAAATATCTTCACACAAAAACTAGACAGAAGCATTCTCAGAAAGTGCTTTGTGATGTGTGCATTCAACTCACAGCATTGAACCATTCCTTTGATGGAGCAGTTTTGAAACAGTTTTTTTTGTAGAATTTGCAAGTGTTCATTTGGAGAGCTTTGAGGCCTATGGAGGAAAAGGAAATATCTTCACATAAAAACTAGACAGAAGCATTGTCAGAAACTATTTTGTGATGTGTGCGTTCAACTCACAGAGTTGAACCTGTCTTTTGATAAAACAGTTTTGAAACACTCCTTTTGTATAATCTGCTTGAGGATATTTGGAGCTCTTTGAGGAATTCGTTGTAAACGGGATATCTTCATGTACAAACTGGAAGCATTCTCAGTAACTGCTTTATGATTTGTGCATTCAACTCACAGAGTTGAACCTTCCTTTTGAGAGAGTTGTTTTGAAAAAGTGTTTTTGTAGTATTCGCAAGTGGATATTTGGAGAGATTTGAGGACTATGATGGAAAAGGTAATATCTTCACATAAAAACTAGACAGAAGCATTCTCAGAAACTGCTTTGTGATGTGAGCATTCAATTCACAGAGTTGAACGCTTTCTTTGAGGGAGCAGTTTTGAAACAGTCTTTTTGTAGTATCTATAAGTGTTCATTTGGAGGGCTTTGAAGGCTATGGTGGAAAAGGTAATATCTTCACATAAAAACTAGACAGAAACATTCTGAGAAACTTTTTTGTGATGTGTGCATTCAACTCACATGGTTGAACCTTTCTTTTGATAGAGCACTATTGAAACACTCCTTTTGTGGAATCGGCTTCTGGATATTTCGAACTCTTGGGGTAATTGTTGGAAACGGTTATCTTCTTAAAAAAACTAGACAGAAGCCTTCTCAGAAAGTTCTTTATGATGTGTGCATTCAACTCACAGAGTTGAACCGTTCTTTTCCTCGAGCAGATTTGAAACTTTCTTTCTGTATAATCTGCAAGTGTTCATTTTGAGTGCTTTGAGGTCTGTGGTGGAAAAGGAAAGATCTTCATATAAAAACTAGACAGAAGCATTCTCAGAAATTTTTTTGTGATGTGTGCATTCAACTCACAGAGATGAAGCTTTCTTTTGATAGAGCAGTTTTGAAACACACCTTTTGTAGAATCTGCTTGTGGATATTTGTAGCTCTTTGAGGAATTGGTTAAAAAACGGGATAACTTCACATACAAACTAGAAGCATTCTCAGAAACTGCTTTGTGAAGTGTGCATTCAACTCACAGAATTGAACCTTCCTTTTGATAGGCCAGTTTTGAAACAGTGTTTTTGTAGTATGTGCAAGAGGATATTTTGAGCGATTTGAGGCCTATGTTGGAAAAGGATGTAACTTCACTTAAAAACTAGACAGTAGCATTCTCAGGAACTTCTTTGTGTTGTGTGCATTCAGCTAACAGAGTTGAACCTTTCTTTTCACAGAGCAGTTTTGAAACACTCTTTTGGTAAAATCTGCAAGTGTTCATTTGGAGAGCTTTGAGGCGTATGTTGGAAAAGGAATTATTTTCACATAAAAACTAGACAGAAGCATTCTCAGAAACTCCTTGGTGATGTGTGCGTTCAATTCACGGAGTGGAACCTTTCTTTTGATAGAGCAGTATTGAAACACTTCTTTTGTAGAATCTGCTTGTGGATATTTGGAGGTCTTTGAGGAATTCATTGTAAACGGGATATCTTCACATACAAACTTGATAGAAGCATTCTCAGAATCTGCTGTATGATGAGTGCATTCAACTCACAGTGTTGAACGTTCCTTTTCAGAGAGCAGTTTTGAAACTGTCTTTTGGTGTTAACAGTAAGTGGATATTTGGAGCGACTAGAGGCCTATGATGGAAAAGGAAATATCTTCACATAAAAATAAGACAGAAGCATTCTCAGGAACTTCTTTGTGATTTGTGCATTCAGCTAACAGAGTTGATCCTTTCTTTTCACAGAGTAGTTTTGTAACACCCTTTTGGTAAAATCTGCAAGTGTTCATCTGGAGCTTTGAGGCCTATGTTGCAAAAGGAAATATCTTCACATCAAAACTAGACAGAAGCATTCTCAGAAACTCCATTGTGATGGGTTTGTTTAATTAACAGAGTGGAACCTTTCTTTTGATAGAGCAGTTTTGAATCACTTATTTTGTAAAATCTGCTTGTTGATATATGAAACTTTTTGAGCAATTCTTTGGAAACGGGCTATCTACACATACAAACTAGACAGAAGCATTCTCAGAAACTGCTTTGTGACATGTGCCTTCACCTCACAGAGTGGAACCCTTCTTTTGTTAGAGTAGTTTTAAAACAGTCTTTTTGTAGTATCTACAAGTGTTCATTTGTAGTGCTTTGAAGCCTACGGTGGAAAAGGAAATATCGTCACATAAAAACTACACAAAAGCAATCCCAGGATCTTCTTTGAGATGTGTGCATTTAACTAACAGAGTTGAACCTGTCTTTTGATAGAGCAGTATTGAAACACTCCTTTTGGGGAATCTGCTTGGGGATATTTGGAACACTTTGGGAATTCGTTGGAAATGGGTATCTTCATATAAAAAATAGACAGAAGCATTTTCAGAAAGTTCTTTGTGATTTGTGCATTCAACTGATAGAGTTGAACCCTTCTTTTGATAGAGCAGATTTGAAACATACTTTCTGTATAATCTGCAAGTGGTCATTTTGAGCGCTTTGAGGCCTGTGGTGGAAAAGGAAATATCTTCACATAAAAACTAGACAGAAGCATTCTCAGAAACTCCTTTGTGATGTGTGTGTTCAATTCACCTAGAGGAAACTTTCTTTGATAGAGCAGTTTTGAAACACTTCTTTTGTAGAATCTGCTTGTGGATATGTGACAGTTTTTGAAGAATTCATGGGAAACGGGTTATGTTCAGAAAAAATCTAGGCAGAAGTATTCTCAGAAAGTTCTTTGTGATGTGTGCATTCAACTCACAGAGATGAACCTTTCTTTTGATAGAGCAGATTTGAAACATTCTTTCTGTATAATCTGCAAGTGTTCATTTGGATCACTTTGAGGACTATGGTGGAAAAGGAAATATCTTCACATGAAAACTAGACAGAAGCATTCTCAGAAACTTTTTTGTGATGTGTGCACTCAATTCACATAGATGAACCTTTCTTTTGATAGAGAAATTTTGAAACGATGCTTTTGTAGAATCTGCTTGTGGATATTTGGAGCTCTAACTGGAATTCGTTGTAAACAGGATATCTACACATACAAACTAGACAGAAGCCTTCTCAAAAACTGCTTTGTGATGTCTGCATTCCCCTCACAGATTGGAACCCTTCTTTTATGAAAGCAGTTTTGCAACAGTGTTTTTGTAGTACCTACAAGTGTTTATTTAGAGGTCTTTGAAGCCTATGGTGGAAAAGGAAATATCTTCACATAAAAACTAGACAGAAGCACTCCCAGGATCTTCTTTGAATTGTGTGCATTCAACTAACAGAGTTGAACCTGTCTTTTGATAGAGCAGTATTGAAACACTCCTTTTGTGGAATCTGCTTATGGATATTTGGAACTTTGGGGAAATCTTTGGAAACGGGTATCTTCATATAAAAACTAGACAGAAGCATTCTCAGAAAGTTCCTTGTGATGTATGCTTTCAACTCACAGAGTTGAACCTTTCTTTTGATTGAGCAGATGTGAAACTTCCTTTCTGTAAAATCTGCAAGTATTCATTTTGAGCGCTTTGAGGCCTATTGTTGAAAAGGGAATATCTTCACATGAAAACTAGACAGAAGCATTCTCAGAAACCTTTTGTGTTGTGTGTATTCAGCTCACATAGTTGAACCTCTCTTTTGATAGAGCAATTTTGAAACACTGCTTTTGTAGATTCTGCTTGTGGATATTTGAGGCTCTTTGAGGAATTCGTTGTAAACGGGATATCTTCACATACAAACTGGATGAATTCTCAGAAACTGCTTTGTGATGTGTGCATTCAACTCACAGAGTTTAACCTTCCTTTTGAGAGAGCAGTTTTGAAACAGAGTTTTTGCAGTGTCTGCAAGTGGATATTTGGAGTGATTTGCGGCCTATGGTTGAAAATTAAATATCTTCACATAAAAACTACACAGAAGCATTCTCAGAAAATTTACTCTGATGTGTGCATTCAACTCAGAGTTGAACCTCTCTTTTGATAGAGCAGTTTTGAAACACTCCTTTTGTAGAATCTGCATGTGGATATTTGGAGCTCTAAGAGGAATTCGTTTTAAACGGGATATCTTCACATATAAACTAGAAGTATTCTCAGAAACCACTTTGTGGTGTGTGCATTCAACTCACAGATTTGAACCTTCCTTTTGAGAGAGCAGTTTTGAAAATGTGTTTTTGTTGTATCTGCAAGTGGATATTTGGAGCGCTTTGAAGCCTATAGTGGAAAAGGAAATATCTTCATATAAAAACCAGACATAAGCATTCCCAGGATCTTCTTTGAGATATGTGCATTCAACTAACGGAGTTGAACCTGTTTTTTGATAGAGCAGTATTGAAACACTCCTTTTGTGGAATCTGCTTCTGGATATTTGGAACTATTGGGGAATTCGTTGGAAACGGGTATCTTCATATAAAAACTAGACAGATGTATTATCAGAAAGTTCTTTTTGATGTGGGCATTCAACTCACAGAGTTGAACCTTTCTTTGATAGAGCAGATTTGAAACTTTCTTTCTGTATAATGTGCAAGTGTTCATTTTGAGCGCTTTGAGGCCTATGGTGGCAAAGGAAATATCTTCAAATACAAACTAGACAGAAGCATTCTCAGAAACTTTTTTGTGATGTGAGGATTAAACTCACAGAATTGAACCTCCCTTTTGATAGAGCAGTTTTGAAACAGTCTTTTTGTAGAATCTGCAAGTGTTCTTTTGCAGCGCTTTGAAGCCTATGGTGGAGAAGCATATATCTTCACATAAAAACTAGACAGAAGCATTCTCAGAAACTTTTTTGTGATGTGTGCATTCAACTCAAAGAGTTGAACCTCTCTTTTGATAGAGTAGTTTTGCAACAGTCCTTTTCTAGAATCCACTTGTGGCTATTTGGAGCTCTTTGAGGAATTCGTTATAAAAGGGGAAAATTTCACATACAAAATAGAAGCATTCTCAGAAACTGCTTTGTGATGTGTGCATTCAACTCACAGAGTTGAAACTTCCTTTTGAGAGAGAAGTTTGGAAACAGTGTTTTTGTAGTATCTGCAAGTGGATATTTCGAGCGATATGAGGCCTATGGTGGAAAAGGAAATATCTTCACATGAAAACTAGACAGAACCATTCTCAGGAACTCTTTTGTGATGTGTGCATTCAATTCACAGAGTTGAACCTTTCTTTTGATAGAGCAATTTTGAAACACTTCTTTTGTAGAATCTGCTTGTGGATATTTGGAGCTGTTTGAGGAATTCGTTGTAAACAGGCTATCTACACGTACAAACTAGACAGAAGCCTTCTCAAAAACTGCTTTGTGATGTATGCATTCACCTCACAGACTGGAACCCTTCTCTTGTGAGAGCAGGTTTGAAACAGTCTTTTTGTAGTATCCGCAAGTGTTCATTTGGAGGTCTTTGCAGCCTATGGTGGAAAAGGAAATATCTTCACAAAAAATAGACAGAAGCATTCCCATGATCTTCTTTGAGATGTGTGCATTCAACTAACAGAGTTGAACCTGTCTTTTGATAGAGCAGTATTGAAACATTCCTTTTGTGGTATCTGCTTGTAGATATTTGGAAAATTTGGGGTATTCGTTGGAAAGGGAATCTTCATATAAAAACTGGACAGAAGCATTCTCAGAAAGTACTTTGTGATGTGTGCATTCAACTCACAGAGTTGAACTTTCCTTTTGAGAGAGCAGTTTTGAAACTGTGTTTTTGTAGTATCTGCAAGTGGATATTTGTAGCTATTTGAGGCCTATGGTGGAAAAGGAAATATCTCCACATAAAAACTAGACAGAAGCATTCTCAGAAACTGCTTTGTGATGTGTGCATTCAACTCACAGAGTTGAAACTCTCTTTTCATAGGGCAGTTTTGAAACACTCCTTTTGTAGAATCTGCTTGTGGATATTTGGAGCTCTTTGAGTAATTCGTTGTAAGCGGGGTATCTACACATACAAACAAGGCAGAAGCATTCTCAAAAACTGCTTTGTGATGTGTGCATTCACCTCACAGAGTGGAACCCTTCTTTTGTTAGATCAGTTTTGAAACAGTCTTTTTGTAGTATCTGCAAGTGTTCATTTGGTGGGCTTTGAAGCAAATGGTGGAAAAGGAAATATCATCACATAAAAACTAGACAGAAGCATTCCCAGGATCTTCTTTGAGATGTGTGCATTCAGCTAACAGAGTTGAACCTGTCTTTTGATAGAGCAGTATTGAAATACTCCTTTTGTGGAATCTGCTTGCGGATATTTGGAAATCTTGGGGTATTCGTTGGAAACGGGAAACGCCATATAAAAGCTAGACAGAAGCATCCTAAGAAAGTTCTTTGTGATGTGTGCATTCAACTCTCAGAGTTCAACCATTCTTTTGATAGAGTAGATTTGAAACTTTCTTTCTGTTTAATCTGCAAGTGTTCATTATGAGCGCTGAGAAGCCTATGGTATAAAAGGAAATATCTTCACATAAAAACTAGACAGAAGCATTCTCCGAAAATTTTTTGTGATGTGTGCATTCAACTCACAGAGTTGAACCTCTCTTTTGATAGAGCAGTTTTGAAACAGTCCTTTTCTAGGATCTGCTTGCAGATATTAGGAGCTCTTTGAGGAATTCATTTTAAATGGGATATCTTCACATATAAACTAGAAGTATTCTCAGAAACCGCTTTGGGAGGTGTGCATTCAACACACAGAGTTGAACCTTCCTTTTGAGAGAGCCGTTTTGAAACTGTGTTTTTGCAGTATCTGCAAGTGGATATTTGGAGCAATTTGAGGCCTATGGTGAAAAAGAAATATCTTCACATGAAAACTAGACAGAAGTATTCTCAGGAACTTTTTTGTGATGTGTGCATTCAGTTCACAGTGTTGAACTTTTCTTTTGATAGAGCTGTTTTGAAACACTGCTTTTGTAGAATCTGCTTCTGGATATTTGGAGCTCTTTGAGGAATTCGTTGTAAACGGGATATCTTCACATACAACCTGGCAGCTTTCTCAGAAACCGCTTTGTGATTTGTGCATTCAACTCACAGGGTTGAACGTCCCTTTTGAAAGAGCAGTGTTGAGGCTGTGTTTTTGTAGTATCTGCAAGTGGATATTTGGTGCGATTTGAGGCCTATGGTGGAAAAAAAAATATCTTAACATAAAAACTAGACAGAAGCATTCTCAGAAAGTTCTTTGTGATGTATCCATTCAACACACAGAGTTGAAACTTTCTTTTGATAGAGCCGTTTTGAAAGTCTTCTTGTAGAATCTGCAAGTGTTCATTTGGAGCACTTTGGAGCCTTTGGTGGAAAAGGAAATATCTTCACATAAAAACTAGACAGAAGCATTCCCAGGATCTTCTTTGAGAAGTGTGCATTCAACTAACAGAGCTGGACCTGTCTTTTGATAGAGCAGTATTGAAACATTCCTTTTGTGGAATCTGCTTGTGTATATTTGGAACTCCTGAAGAATTCGTTGGAAACGGGTATCTTCATATAAAAACTAGACCAAAGCATTCTCAGAATGTTCTTTGTGATGGGTGCATTCAACTCACAGAGTTGAAACTTTCTTTTGATAGAGCAGATTTGAAACTTTCTTTCTGTGTAATCTGCAAGTGTTCATTTTGAGCACTTTTAGGCCTACGGTGGAAAAGGAAATAGCTTCACATAAAAACTAGACAGAAGCATTCTCAGAAACTTTTTTGTGATGTGTTCATTCAGCTCACAGAGTTGAAACTCTCTTTTGATAAAGCAGTTTTGAAACACTCCTTTTGTAGGATCTGCTTGTAGATATTTGAAGCCCTTTGAGGAATTGGTTTTCCACAGGATATCTTCACAAATAAAATAGACAGAAGCATTCTGAGAAGCTGCTTTGTGAAGTGTGTATTGAACTCACAGAGTTGAACCTTCCTTTTGAGAGAGCAGTTTTGAAACACTGTTTTTTTAGTATCTGCAAGTGCATATTTGGAGCGATTTGCAGCCGATGGTGGAAAAGGAAATACCTTCACATAAAAACTAGACCGAAGCATTCTCAGAAACTGCTTTGTGATGTGTGCATTCACCTCACAGAATTGAACCCTTCCTCTGATAGAGCTGTTTTGAAAAAGTCTTTTTGTAGAATCTGCAAGTGGTATTTTGCAACGCTTTCAATCTTATGGTGGAAAAGGTAATATCTTCACAAGCAAACTAGACAGAAGCATTCTCAGAAACATTTTTGTGATGTGTGCATTCAACTCACAGCGTTGAACCTCTTTTTTGATAGAGCAGTTTTGAAACAGTCCTTTCTAGAATCTGCTTGTGGATATTTGGAGCTATTTGAGGAATTCGTTGTACACGGGATATCTTCACATACAAACTAGAAGCATTCTCAGAAACTGCTTTGTGATGTATGCATTCATCTCACAGAGCTGAATCTTCCTTTTGAGAGAGCAGTTTGGAAACAGTGTTTTTGTAGTATCTTCGAGTGGATATTTGGAGCGATATGAGGCCTATGGTGGAAAAGGAAATATCTTCACCTAAAAACTTGGCAGAAGCATTCTCAGAAACTGCTTTGTGATGTGTGCAGTCACCTCACGGAGTTGAACCCTTCCTTTAACGGAGCAGTTATGAAACAGTCTTTTTGTAGAAACTGCATGTGGATATTTGGAGCGATTTGTGTCCTGTGTTGGAAAAGGATATATCTTCTCATAAAAACTAGACAGAAGCATTCTCAGGAACTTCTTTGTGATGTGTGCATTCAGCTAACAGAGTTGAACCTTTCTTTTCACAGAGCAGTTTTGAAACACTCTTTTGGTAAAATCTGCAAGTGTTCATTTGGAGAGCTTTGAGGCCTATGGTGGAAAAGGAAATAGCTTCACAAAAAAACTAGAAAGAAGCATTCTCAGAAACTCCCTTGTGATATGTGTGTTCAGTTCACAGAGTGGAACCTTTCTTTTGATAGAGCAGTTTTGAAACACTTCTTTTATACAATCTGCTTGTGGATATATGAACCTTTTTGAGGAATTCTTTGGAAACGGGCTAACTTCAGAAAAAAACTAGGCAGAAGTATTACCAGAAAATTCTTTGTTATGTGTGCATTCAACTCAAAGGGTTGAACCCTTCCTTCAGTGGAGCAGTTTTGAAACACTCTTCTTGTAGAATCTCCAAGTGTTCATTTTGAGCGCTTTGAAGCCTATGGTGGAAAAGGTAATATCTTCACATAAAAACTAGACAGAAGCATTCTCAGAAAGTTTTGTGATGTGTGCATTCAACTCACATAGTTGAACCTTTCTTTTGATAGAGCAGTTTTGAAACACACCTTTTGTAGAATCTGCTTGTGGATATTTGGAGCTCTTTGAGAAAATCGTTGTAAATGGGATATCTTCACATAAAAACTAGACAGAAGCATTCTCAGAAGCTGCTTTGTGATGGCTGCGTTCAACTCACAGAGTTCAACCTTCCTTTTCAGACACCAGTTTTCAAACAGTATTTTGGTGTTACCTGCAAGTGGATATTTGGATCGATTTGAGGCCTATGGTGGAAAAGGAAGTATCACCTTCACATAAAAACTAGACAGAAGCATTCTCAGAAACTGCTTTGTGATGTGTGCATTCAACTCACAGAGTTGAGCCTTTGCTTTGATAGAGCAGTTTTGAAACAGTCTTTTTATAGAATCTGCAGGTGGATATTTGGAGCGATTTGAGGCCTATGTTGGAAAAGGATATACCTTCACATAAAAACTAGACAGAAGAATTCTCAGGAAATTGTTTGTGATGTGTGCATTCAGGTAACAGAGTTGAACATTTCTTTTGACAGAGCAGTTTTGAAACGCTCTTTTGGTAAATTATGCAAGTGTTCATTTTGAGCACTTTGAGGCCTATGGTGCAAAAGGAAATATCTTCACATAAAAACTAGACAGAAGCATTCTCAGAAACTCCTTTGTCATGGGGGTGTTCAATTCACAGAGTCGAACCTCTGTTTTGATAGAGCAGTTTTGAAACACTTCTTTTGTAAAATCTGCTTGTGGATATATGAAACTTTTTGAGGAATACGTTGGAAACGGGCTATTTTCAGAAAAAAAAACCAGGCAGAAGTATTCTCAGAAAGTTCTGTGTTATGTGTGAATACTACTCACAGAGTTGAACCTTTCTTTTTATAGCACAGCATTGAAACATTCTTTCTGTATAACCTGCAAGTGTTCATTTGGAGCGCTTTGAGGCCTATGGTGGAAAAGAAATATCTTCACATGAAAACAAGACAGAAGCATTTTCAGAAACATTTTGTGATGTGTGCATTCAATTCACAGAGTTGAACCTTTCTTTTGATAGAGCAGTTTCAAAACACTGCTTTTGTACAATCTGCTTGTGGGTATTTAGATCTCTTTGAGGTTTTCGTTGTAAAGGGGATATCTACACATAAAAACTAGACAGAAGCATTCTCAGAAACTGCTTTGTGATGTGTGCATTCACCTCACAGAGTGAAACGCTTCTTTTGCTAGAGCAGTTTTGAAACAGTCTTTTTGTAGTATCTGCAAGTGTTCATTTGGAGTGCTTTGAAGCCTGTGGTGGAAAAGGAAATATCTTCACACAAAAACTAGACAGAAGCACTCCCAGGATCTTCTTTGAGATGTGTGCATTCAACTAACAGGGTTGAACCTGTCTTTTGATAGAGCAGTATTGAAACACACCTTTTGTGGAATCTGCTTGTGGATATTTGGAACTCTTGGGGAATTCATTGGAAATGGGTATCTTCATATAAAAACTAGACAGAAGCATTCTCAGAAAGTTCTTTGTGATACGTGCTTTCAGCTCACAGAGTTGAACCTCTCTTATGATTGAGCAGTTTTGAAACACTCCTTTTGTAGATTCTGCTTGTGGATATTTGGAGCTCTTTGAGGAATTCGTTGTAAACGGGATATCTTCACATACAAACTAGAAGCATTCTCAGAAACTGCTTTGTGATGTGTGCATTCAACTCACAGAGTTGAACCTTCCTTTTGAGAGAGCAGTTTTGAAACAGGCTTTTTGTAGTGTCTGCAAGTGTTCATTTGGAGCACTTTGAAGCCTATGGTGAAAAAGGAAATATCTTCATATAAAAACTGGACAGAAGCATTCTCAGAAACACCTTTGTGATATAAGTGTTCAATTCACAGAGTGGAACCTTTCTTTTGATAGAGCAGTTTTTAAACACACCTTTTGTAGGACCTGCTTTTGGATATATGAAACTCTTTGAGGAATTCGTTGGAAACGGGCTATCTTCACAAAAAAAGTAGACTGAAGTATTCTCAGAATGTTCTTTGTGACGTGTGCATTCAACTCACAGAGTTGAAACTTTCTTTTCCAAATCAGATTCGAAACGTTCTTTCTGTATTCTGCAAGTGTTCATTTTGAGCGCTTAGAGGCCTATGGTGAAAAAGGAAGTATCTTCACATGAAAACTAGAAAGAAGCATTCTCAGAAACTGCTTTGTGATGTGTGCATTCATCTCACAGAGTTGAGCATTTCTTTTGATAGAGCAGTTTTGAAACAGTCTTTTTATAGTATCTGCAGGTGGATATTTGGAGCAATTTGAGGACTATGTTGGAAATGGATATATCTTCACTTAAAAACTACACAGAAGCATTCTCTGGAACTTCTATGTGTTCTGTGCATTCAGCTAACAGAGTTGAACTTTACTTTTGACAGAGCAGTTCTGAGACACTCTATTGGTAAAATCTGCAAGTGTTCTTCTGGAGAGCTTTGAGGCCTATGGTGGAAAAGGAAATATCTTCACATAAAAACCAGACAGCATCATTCTCAGAAACTCCTTTGGATGTATGCATTCAACTCACAGAGTTTAACCTGTCTTTTAATAGAGCAGTATTGAAACGATCCTTTTGTGGAACCTGCTTGTGGATGTTTGGAACTCTTGGGGAATTCGTTGGAAACGGGTATCTTCACATAAAAACTAGACTGAAACATTCTCAGAAACTCCTTTGTGATGTGTGCGTTCCATTCACAGATTGGAACCTTTCTTTTGATAGAACAGTTTTGAAACACTTCTTTTGTAGAATCTGCTTGTGGCTATATGAAACTTTTTGAGGAATTCATTGGAAACGGGCTATCTTCAGAAAAAAACTAGACAGAAGCATTCGCAGAAAGTTATTTGTGATGTGCGCATTCAACTCTCAGAGTTGAACCTTTCTTTTGATAGAGCAGATTTGAAACATTCTTTCTGTATAATCTGCAAATTTTCATTTTGGGTGCTTCGAGGCCTATGGTGGAAAAGGATATATCATCACATTAAAACTAGACAGAAGCATTCTCAGAAACTTTTTTGTGATGTGTGCATTCAATTCACAGAGTTGAACCTTTCCTTGGTAGAGCAGTTCTGAAACTCTGCTTTTTTAGAATCTGTTTGTGGATATTTGGAGCTCTTTGAGGAATTCTTTGTAAACAGGATATCTACACATACAATGTAGACAGAAGCATTCTCAGAAACTGCTTTGTGATGCATGCATTCAACTCACAGAGTTGTAGTTTCCTTTTGAGAGAGTAGTTTTGAGACAGTCTTTTTGTAGTATATGCAAGTGGATGTTTGGAGCGATTTGAGGCTTGTGGTGGAAAAGGAAATATCATCACATAAAAACTAGACAGAAGAATTCTCAGGAACTGCTTTGTGATGTGTGCATTGACCTCACAGAGTGTAACCCTTCTTTTGATAGAGCAGTTTTGTAACAGTCTTTTTGTAGTATCTGCAAGTGTTCATTTGGAGTGCTTTGAAGCCTATGGTGGAAGAGGAAATGTCTTCACATAAAAACTAGACAGAATACTTCCCAGGAACTTATTTGAGATGTGTGCATTCAACTAACAGAGTTGAACCTGTCTTTTGATAGAGCAGTATTGAAACACTCCTTTTGTGTAATCTGCTTGTGGATGTTTGGGACTCTTGGGGAATTCGTTGGAAACGGGTATCTTCACATAAAAACGAGACAGAAGCATTCTCAGAAACTGCTTTGTGATGTGTGCATTCAACTCAGTGAGTTGAACCTTCCTTTTGATAGAAAAGTTTTGAAACACACTTTTTGTAGAATCTGTAAGTGTTCACATTTGGAGCACTTTGAAGCCTATGGTGGAAAAGGAAGTACCTTCACATAAAACTTAGACAGAAGCATTTTCAGAAACAACTTCATGATCTGTGTGTTCAATTCACAGAGTGGAACCTTTCTTTTGACAGAGCAATTTTGAAACACTCCTTTTGTAGAATCTGCTTCTGGATATATGAAACCCTTTGAGAAATTCGGTGGTAAAGAGCTATCTTCATAAAAAATGTAGACAGAAGTATCCTCAGAAAGTTCTTTTTGATGTGTGCATTCAACTCACAGAGTTGAACCTTTCTTTTGATAGAGCAGATTTGAAAATTACTTTCTGTATAATCTGCAAGTGTTCATTTTGAGCGCTTTGAGGCCTAAGGTGGAAAAGGAAATACTTCACATTAAAACTAGACAGAAGCATTCTCAGAAAATTTTTGTGATGTGTGCATTCAACTCACAGAGTTGAACCTCTCTTTTGATAGAGCAGTTTTGAAACACTCCTTTTGTATAATCTGCTTGTGGATATTTGCATCTCTTTGACGAATTCGTTGTAAACCGGATACCTTCACATACAAACTAGACAGAAGCATTCTCAGAAACTGCTTTGTGATATGTGCATTCAACTCACAGAGCTGAACCTTCCTTTTGAGAGAGCAGTTTTGAAACAGTCCTTTTGTAGTATCTGCAAGTGGTTATTTGAAGCGATTAGAGGCCTATAATGCAAAAGGAAATATCTTCACATAAAAACTAGACAAAAGCATTCTCAGAAACTGCTTTGTGATGTGTGCATTCACCTAAAAGAGTGGAACCCTTCTTTTGTTAGAGCAGTTTTGAAACAGTCTTTTTGTAGTATCTGCAAGTGTTGAATTGGAGCGCTTTGAATCCTATTGTGGAAAAGGAAATATCTTCACATAAAAACTAGACAGAAGCATTCCCAGGATCTTCTTTGAGATGTGTGCATTCAACTAACAGAGTTGAACCTGTCTTTTGATAGAGCAGTATTGAAACACTCCTTTTGTTGGACCTGCTTGTGGATGTTTGGAACTCTTGGGGAATTCATTGGAAACAGGTATCTTCAGAAAAAAACTAGACAGAAGTATTCTCAGAAAGTTCTTTGTGATGTGTGCATTCAACTCACAGGGTTGAACCTTTCTTTTGATAGAGAAGATTTGAAAAACTCTTTGTGTATAATCTGCAGGTGTTCATTTTGTGCTGTTTGAGGCCTATGGTGGAAAAGGAAATATCTTCACATGAAAACTAGACTGTGGCATTCTCAGAAACTGCTTTGTGATGTGTGCATTCAATTCACATAGTTGAACATTTCTTTTCATAGGGCAGTTTTAAAACAGTGCTTTTGTAGAATCGGCTTTTGGATATTTTTAGCATTTTGATAATTTCATTGTAAACGGGATATCTACACCTAGACACTAGACAGAAGCATTCTGAGAAAGTGCTTTGTGATGTGTGCATTCAACTCACAGAGTGGAACCCTTCTTTTGATAGAGCAGTTTTGAAAAAGTCTTTTTGTAGTATCTGCAAGTGTTCACTTGCAGCGCTTTGAAGCCTATCGTGGAAAAGGAAATATCTTCACATAAAAACTAGACAGAAGCATTCTCAGAAACTTTTTTGTGATGTGTGCATTCAACTAACAGAGTTGGACCTGTCGTTTGATAGAGCAGTATTGAAACACTCCTTTTGTGGAATCTACTTGTGGATGTTTGGAACTCTTGGGGAATTCATTGGAAACAGGAATCTTCACATAAATATAGACAGAAGCATTCTCAGAAAGTTCTTAGTGACGTGTGCATCAACTCACAAAGTTGAACCTTTCTTTTGAGAGAGCAGTTTTGAAACACACTTTTTGTAGAATATGAAATTGTTCATTTGGAGCCCTTGGAGGCCTATGGTGGATAAGGAAATATCTTCACATAAAAACTAGACAGAAGCATTCTCAGAAACAACTTTGTGATGTGTGTGTTCAATTCACAGAGTTGAAACTTTATTTTGACAGAGCAGTTTTGAAGCACTCCTTTTGTAGAATCTGCTTGAGGATATATGAAACTCTTTGAGGAATTTGTTGGCAACAAGCTATCTTCACAAAAAAAGTAGACAGAAGTATTCTCAGAAAGTTCTTTGTGATGTGTGCATTCAACACACAGATTTGAACGTTTCTTTTGAAAGAGCAGATGTGAAACATTCTTTCTGTATAATCTGCAAGTGTTCATTTTGAGCGCTTAGAGGCCTATGGTGGAAAAGGAAGTATCTTCACATAAAACCTAGACAGAAGCATTCTCAGAAACAAATTTGTGATGCATATGTTCTATTCACGGAGTGGAAATTTTCTTTTGTTAGAGTAGTTTTGAAAGTCTCCTTTTGTAGAATCTGCTTGTGGCTGTATGAAACTCCTTGGGGAATTCTTTGGAAACGGGTATCTTCAGATAAAAACTAGACAGAAGTGTTCTCAGAAAGTTTTGAGGCCTATGATGAAAAAGGAAATATCTTCTACAAAAGCGGGGTTTCAAAAATGCTCTATCAAAAGAAAGATTCAACTCTGTGAATTGAATGCACACACCACAAAAAATTTCTCGGAATGCTTCTGTCTAGTTTTCATGTGAAAA
>NC_000012.12:37333242-37334747 GCF_000001405.40 Homo sapiens | reverse complement strand
TAAAATCTGCTTGTGGATATATGAAACTTTTTGAGGAATACGTTGGAAACGGGCTATTTTCAGAAAAAAAAACCAGGCAGAAGTATTCTCAGAAAGTTCTGTGTTATGTGTGAATACTACTCACAGAGTTGAACCTTTCTTTTTATAGCACAGCATTGAAACATTCTTTCTGTATAACCTGCAAGTGTTCATTTGGAGCGCTTTGAGGCCTATGGTGGAAAAGAAATATCTTCACATGAAAACAAGACAGAAGCATTTTCAGAAACATTTTGTGATGTGTGCATTCAATTCACAGAGTTGAACCTTTCTTTTGATAGAGCAGTTTCAAAACACTGCTTTTGTACAATCTGCTTGTGGGTATTTAGATCTCTTTGAGGTTTTCGTTGTAAAGGGGATATCTACACATAAAAACTAGACAGAAGCATTCTCAGAAACTGCTTTGTGATGTGTGCATTCACCTCACAGAGTGAAACGCTTCTTTTGCTAGAGCAGTTTTGAAACAGTCTTTTTGTAGTATCTGCAAGTGTTCATTTGGAGTGCTTTGAAGCCTGTGGTGGAAAAGGAAATATCTTCACACAAAAACTAGACAGAAGCACTCCCAGGATCTTCTTTGAGATGTGTGCATTCAACTAACAGGGTTGAACCTGTCTTTTGATAGAGCAGTATTGAAACACACCTTTTGTGGAATCTGCTTGTGGATATTTGGAACTCTTGGGGAATTCATTGGAAATGGGTATCTTCATATAAAAACTAGACAGAAGCATTCCCAGGATCTTCTTTGAGAAGTGTGCATTCAACTAACAGAGCTGGACCTGTCTTTTGATAGAGCAGTATTGAAACATTCCTTTTGTGGAATCTGCTTGTGTATATTTGGAACTCCTGAAGAATTCGTTGGAAACGGGTATCTTCATATAAAAACTAGACCGAAGCATTCTCAGAATGTTCTTTGTGATGGGTGCATTCAACTCACAGAGTTGAAACTTTCTTTTGATAGAGCAGATTTGAAACTTTCTTTCTGTGTAATCTGCAAGTGTTCATTTTGAGCACTTTTAGGCCTACGGTGGAAAAGGAAATAGCTTCACATAAAAACTAGACAGAAGCATTCTCAGAAACTTTTTTGTGATGTGTTCATTCAGCTCACAGAGTTGAAACTCTCTTTTGATAAAGCAGTTTTGAAACACTCCTTTTGTAGGATCTGCTTGTAGATATTTGAAGCCCTTTGAGGAATTGGTTTTCCACAGGATATCTTCACAAATAAAATAGACAGAAGCATTCTGAGAAGCTGCTTTGTGAAGTGTGTATTGAACTCACAGAGTTGAACCTTCCTTTTGAGAGAGCAGTTTTGAAACACTGTTTTTTTAGTATCTGCAAGTGCATATTTGGAGCGATTTGCAGCCGATGGTGGAAAAGGAAATACCTTCACATAAAAACTAGACCGAAGCATTCTCAGAAACTGCTTTGTGATGTGTGCATTCACCTCACAGAATTGAACCCTTCCTCTGATA